>NC_000021.9:7550890-7693700 GCF_000001405.40 Homo sapiens | reverse complement strand
GATCTTTTGCATTTTTTTAATTAGATTATAAGTGTATTTTATTTTGAGATTTTAAAGTTTCTTATTTATTCTGAATATTAGCCTTTTGTCATATGTATAGCCTGAAAGCATTTTCTTTTATTGCCTAAGCTGTCTCTTCAATCTTTTAGTTTTTTTAATATGGAAAAGCATTTTAGTTTGACATAATGTTGTTTGCTTATTTTTGATTTTGTTGCCTATGTTTTGACATGTTATTTTAATAATCCTTTCCCCGTCGAATGTTATAAAGCATTTTTTAGTTTTTCTCTAATAGTTTCATAATTGATAGCATTACATTTAAGTCTTTAGTTTGAATTGATTTTCATATATGGCAAGGCACAGGGGTCTAGTATAATTTTTCTGAATTTAAATATTTAAATGGCCCTGCATCATTTATTGAAGAAATTAGCTTTTCCCTAAAGTGTGTTCTTGGCAATTTTGTTGACAATCAGTTGGCTTTAGGTGCATAAACTAACTTCTGGGCTTCTTGGGCACATTAGTCTATGTGTTTGTTTTTATGCCAGTACAGTGCTCTTTTGGTTACTATAGCTTTGTAGCAAGTTTTGAAGTTTGATAAAGTGATGCCTTTAGCTTTGCTTATTTTGCTCAAAGTTATTTGTCTATTCAGAGTTTTTTGTGGATCCACATAAATTTAAAATATTTTTTCTATTTCTGTGAAAAAATGTCATTGATATTTTGATAAAAATATTACCTCCCACAGGGTCCCTCCCAGGACATGTGGGGATTATTACAATTTAAGATGAGATTTGATTGGGGACACAGAGCCAAACCCTGTCAATTACTTAAATCCAGGAGTTCGACACTACCCCGGGCAATATTGTGACAAGCTATTGGTAAAAAATATTTTCACAGATTACTCAGGCATTGTGGAATGTTCCTGTAGTCTCAGGAAGTTGGAGGCTGACGTAAGATTATTCCTTGAGTTCCCCAGGAACTTGAGGCTGCATTGAGCTATAATCATCGTATTGTATTCCTGTCTGGGTGAGAGAGTAAGACCTCTTTTTAGAATTTCAAATTTATTTTAGATTTAGGAGGTACCTACACAGGTTTTTTACATGGGTATTTTGTATAATGCTGAGGTTTGAAGTATGAGTAATTCCATCAATCAGGTAGTGAGCATAGTACTAAGTAGACAGTTTTTCAGTTCTTGGTCCCTCCCTCTCTCCACCCTCTAAGAGTTGTCTATTATTTTTGTTTTTCTGTCCATGTGTACCCAGTGTTAATTTCCATTTATAAGTGAGAATATGCAGTATTTTCATTTTCCATTTCTGCATTAATTTGCTTTGTATAATGGCCTTTAGTTGTGTTAACGTTGCTGCAAAGGAGGTTTTTTTTGTTTGTTTTTGCTAAGTAGTATTGCTGTACATGTGACACTTTTTAAATTCAATTTACCATCAATAGGCTGGACATGGTGGCTGATGCCTGTAATCCCAGTGCTGTGGGAGGCCAAGGCGGGTGGATCATGAGGTCAGGAGATCGAGACCATCCTGGACAACGTAATGAAACCCCGTATGTACTGGAAATACAAAAGTTAGCCAGGCTTGGTGGCATGCGCCTATAGTCCCAGCTACTCGGGTGGCTGAGGAAGGAGAATTGCTTGAACCTGGGAGGTGGAGATTGTAGTGAGCTGAGATCGTGCCACTGCACTCCAGCCTGGGCAACAGAGTGAGACGTCATCTCAAAAAAATAAAAAATTACCATGAATAGGCACGTAGGTTGATTCAGGTCCTTCCTCTTATGAATAGTGTAGTGATGAACCAACAAGTGCATGTGCTATTTTGGTAGAATAGTTTATTCTCTTTTGGGTATATACCCAGCGGTGAAATTGCTGGGTTGAATCACAGTTTAACTCTCAGTTATTTGGAAAATCTCCAAGCTGTTCTCCACAGTGGCTGAACTAATTTACATTCCTATTAACAGTGTATAAGTGGTTTTTTCCCTCTAAAACCCCATCAACATCTATTATCATTTTACTTTTTAACAAAAACCATTCTAACTGGTGTACAATGGTGTCTTATTGTGGTTTTTATTTACATTTCCTTGATGGTTAGTGATGATAAGCTTTTTTCATGTTATTTGGCCACTTGTATGTGTTCTTTTGAAGAGTGTCTGTTATTGCCCACTTTTTCATGGGGTAATTTTTTCCTTGTGAATTCTTTAAGTTTCTTATAGATTCTGAGTATTAGATTTTGTCAGGTTCATAGGTTATGAATATTTTTGCCATTCTGCTAGCTTTGGGGTAAGTTAGTTTTTATTTTTCTAGTTTCTCTAAGTGTGATGTTAAATTGTTAGTTTGAGATCATTCTAACTTCTTGATGCAGGTATTTAGCACTCTCAACTTTCCTCTTAACAGAGCTCTTCCTACAACCCAGACATTTTGTTATATTGTGTCTCTTCTATTTCAAAATCTTTTTAATTTTCTGCCTTAATTTTTTTGTTTATCCAAAATTCATTCAGGAGCAAGTTGTTTAATTTCAATATCATTCTGTGATTTTGTGAGATTTTCTTGGTATTGATTTTTATCTTTGTTCCATTGTGGCCTGTCATATTCTGTGAGCAGATGAGAAGAATTTACTTTCTTTAGATGATGTGTTGCATATACTATAAATGTCTATTAGTTTCAATTGATCAAGTGTCGAATCAAACTCCAGAATTTCTTTGTTAAGTTTCTGCCTAGATAATCTGTCAAACACTTAGTGGGGAGTTGCATTCCCCTACTATTATTGTGTGTCTACTTGAGGCTTATTGTAGTTCTAGCAGTAATTGTTGTATAACTCTATGTTCCCCAAAGTTGGGTGCATCTACATTTACGATAGTTAAGTCTTCTTGTTGAATTGAACCCTTTATCGTTACGCAATACCTTTCTTTGTTTTATTTTACTATTAATGATTTAAAGCTATTTTTTCTTAAAAGAGAAACAATTCCAGGTATGGTAGCTTGTGCCAGCACTTTCAGACTGAAGCAGTCGGATTGCCTGAGACCAGGAGTTTGAGACCAGCCGAGGCAACACAGCAACATACTGTTTGTACAAATTTTTTTAAAGAAACTATACAGGAGGGGTAATGTGCACAACTGTGGTCATATTTACTCAGGAGACATAGGTGGCATGACTGCTTGACTTCCGAAATTTGAGGTTACAGTGAGCTGTGATTCCACCAGTGTACTCTGTCCCAGGAGATAAAGTAAGATCCTCTGCATAAAATGAAAAAGTAAAGAAAAATAAAAAGATTTTAAGTTAAAAAAATAATTCCTAGATCTCCACTTCTTTAGGTTCACTTGAATATATATTTTTCTCCTTTGATTAGGTTATATTTCCTGGTTGCTTTTACTTACTGTAGTTTTGTTAAGGTTTTGATCAATTAAGAAACCACTACCTATTTTATCCTTTATGAAAGAGCTTTATACATGGGAAAATTGACAACATTCAGCCACAGTAGTCATACTGGGAGCTTCTCCAATCTGTTGTCAAAATGTGTCTTCTTTGGACTACTGTATGTATTTTCTTGTTAATAAGGTTTACCTCTGTTTCCTCTTAGGAGCCTTTAGTCTCTTCCCTTCGTCACTGTTGTAGGCACTACAGTCTCTGTTGTTGTAAGAAGCATTTATCTTTATTCTCAGTTGACCCAAGCTGTCATTTAAACTCAGTCTCTATTCTCATCAACACTAAATGTTAAAGGAAGCAATTTCCAGTCTTTAGATAACCCCGGTATAACTCAGTAAGTCAGAAGTTTGCATACGCATTTCACTCTTTTTTCTTTCCCAAAGGAGAATCATGGAATGGACAGATTTTTATCTAACTGCGCTGTTCTGTAGTGCACAAATGTGACCAAATTTTCTTCTAAATGTGGTTATGGTTGGCTTTTTTCTCATGTGGGGTGCTACAAACTCAACTGGCTTTGTTCGCCCAATTGTAGTTAAGTTCATATGTCAATGGAGAGAAACAGGATCTCAGGTTCTGCTTCAACTGTCATTGTCTTCTCAGCTGACCTCATTTTGTACATTAGATTTATAAAATATATTTACTTTAATCTCATCACCGAATTTTTAAAAAAATTATTATTTTTCAGCTCTTTTAGCAATATATCCAATCAAGACCCAGAGAAAACAGTACATAGAAGCTTCTTTTCAAAAAGTAATATTGGGAAGATATGGGAGCTCTGGCCTTGAACTTTTACACTTAGGAGAGTGGGAAATTGAAGGATAAGTGTAAACGGCACAAAGTATGCTATGATGAATATACCAGATACACAGCAATTACCTACAGCAAAAATGTCACTGCTAGAAGAGCTCAAAACCATAAAGTATTTTGGAAAAAGCATAATTAATGTTGATTCTTTTTTCTGAACTATATATTTATATAATTACATACCAATAACAATTTTTGAAACATATCATGTTTTTGAAACAAAATTTAGAAAATCGCAATAGTGGCCTAGGCCAGGAATATTTCTTCTAATGCTATCCCTCCCATAGTCCCCCACTTCCCGACAGGCTCCAGTGTGTGATGTTCCCCTTCCTGTGTCCGTGTGTTCTCTTTGTTTAACTCCCTATTATGAGTGAGAACATGCGATGTTAGCTTTTCTACTCTTGTGTTAGTTTGCTGAGAATGGTGGTTTCCAGCTTCATCCATGTCCCTGCAAAGGACATGAACTCATCCTTTTTATGACTGCATCGTATTCCATGATGTGGACATGCCAAGTTTTCTTTATTCAGTCTATCATTGATGGTCATTTGGTTTGTTTCAAAGTTTTTGCTCTTGTGAACAGTGCCATAATAAACATACGTATGCATGTATCTTTATAATAGAATAATTTATAATCCTTTGGGTATATACCCAGTAATGTGATTGCTGGGTCAAATGGTATTTCTCATTGTGGATCCTTGAGGAATCACCACACTGTCTTCCACACTGGTTGAACTAATTTACACTCTCACCAACAGTGTATAAGTCTTCCTATTTTTCCACATCCTTTGTTGTTTCCTGATTTTTTTAATGATCACCATTCTAACAGGTGTGGGATGGTTTCTCATTGTGTTTTTGATTTGCATGTGTCTAATAACCAGTGATGATGTCCTTTTCTTCATTTGTTTATTGGCTGCATAAATGTCTCCTTTTGAGAAGTGTCTGTTCAAATCCTTTGCCCATTTTCGATGTTGTTGTTTCTTTTTTTCTTGTAAATTTGTTTAAGTTCTTTGTAGATTCTACATATCAGCCCATTGTCAGACGGATAGATTGCAGAAATTTTCTCCCATTCTTTAGGTTGCCTGTTCACTCTGATATAGTTTTTTTTGTTGTGCAGAAGCTCTTTAGTTTAATTATATCTCGTTTGTCAATTTTGGCTTTTGTTGCCATTGTTTTTGGTGTTGTAGTCATGAAGTCTTTGCCCATGCCTATGTCCTGAATGGTACTGCCTTGGTTTTCTTCTGGGGTTTTTATGGTTTTAAGTCTTATGTTTAAGTCTTTAATCCATCTTCAGTTATGTTTTGTATAACGAGTAAGGAAGAAGTCCAGTTTCAGTTTTTTGCATATGGCTAGCTAGTTTTCCAACACCATTTATTAAATAGGGAATCCTTTCCCCATTACTTGTTTTTGTCAGGTTCATCAAAGATCAGATGATTCTAGATGTTGAGTGTTATTTCTGAGGCCTCTGTTCTGTTCCATTTGTCAATATATCTGTTTTGGTACGAGTACCATCCTGTCTTGGTTACTGTGGCCTTTTAGTATAGTTTGAAGACAGCTAGCATGATGCCTCCACCTTTGTTCTTTTTGCTTAGTATTGTCTTGTCTATGCAAGACCTTTTTTGATTCCATATGAAATTTGAAGTAGTTTTTTTTCTAATTCTGTGAAGAAAGTCAATGGGAGCTTGATGGGGATAGCAATGAATTTATAAATTACTTTGGGCAATATGGCCATTTTCATAATATTGATTCTTCCTATCCATGAGCATGGATTGTTTTCGTTTGTTTGTGTCCTCTTTCATTTCCTTGAGCAGTGGTTTGTAGTTCTCCTTGAAGTGGTCCTTTACATCATTTTTAAGTTGGATTCCTAGGTATTTTATTCCCTTTGTAGCAATTGTGAATGAGAGTTAACACATGATTTGGCTCTCTGTTTGCCTATTATTGCGTATAGGAATGCTTGTGATTTTTGAACATTGATTTTGTATCCTGAGACTTTGCTGAAGTTGCTTATCAGTTTAAGGAAATTTTGGGCTGAGATGGTAGGGTTTTCTAGATATACAATCATGTCATCTGCAAACAAAGACAATTTGACTTCTTCTCTTCCTATCTGAATACGCTTTATTTCTTTCTTTCTTTTGCTGATTGCCAGAACTTCCAATACTATAATGAATAGGAGTGGGGAGAAAGGGTGTTCTTGTCTTGTGCAGGTTTTCAAAGGGAATGCTTCCAGTTTTTGCCCATTCAGTATGATATTAGCTGTGCATTTGTCATAAATAACTCTTATTATGTTGAGATAGGTTCCATCAATACATAATTCATTGAGAGTTTTTACCATGAAGAGGTGTGGAATTTTATTGAAGGCCTTTTTTGCATCTATTGAGATAATCATGTGGTTTTTGTCATTAGTTCTGTTTATGTGATGGATTTTATTTATTGATTTGCATATGTTGAACCAGCTTTGTATCCCAGGGATTAAGCTGACTAGATCGTGGTGGATAAGCTTTTTGATGTGCTGCTGGATTCGGTTTGCCAGTATTTTATTGAGGATTTTCGCATCGATATTCATCAGGGATATGGGCCTGAAATTTTCTTTTTCTGGTGTGTCTTTGCCAGGTTTTGGTTTCAGGATGATGCTGGCCACATAAAATGAATTAGGGAGGAGTACCTCTTTTTCTATTGTTTGAAATAATTTCAGAAGGAATGGTACCAGCTCCTCTTTGTACCTTTGGTAGAATTCGGCTGTGAATCCGTCTGGTCCTGGACTTCTTTTTGTTGGTAGGCTACTAATTACTGCCTCAATTTTAGAACTTGTTATTGGCCTATTCAAGGATTCGACTTCCTACTGGTTTGCACTTGGGAGGGTATATGTGTCCAGGAATTTATCCATTTCATCTAGATTTTCTAGTTAATTTGCAAAGAGGTATTTATAATATTCTGTAATGATACTTTTTATTTCTGTGGGATCAACGGTTATATCCCCTTTATCATTTCCTATTGCATGTATTTGATTCTTTTCTTCCTTATTAGTCTGGCTAGAAGTTTATTTATTTTCTTGATCTTTTAAAAAAACCAGCTCCTGGATTCATTGATTTTTTGGACGGGCTTTTTGTGTCTCTATCTCCTTCAGTTCTGCTCTGATCTTAAATCTTGTCTTCTGCTAGTTTTTGAATTTGTTTGCTCTTGCTTCCCTAGTTTTTTTAATTGTGATGTTACGGTGTCGATTTTAGACATTTTTCTGCTTTCTCTTGTGGGGATTTAGTGCTGTAAATTTCCCTTTCAGACTACTTTAGCTGTGTCGTATTTTACTTTTTAAGCCCTCAATCTTCCTTTTTCATCGTGATAGTCTTTACTGTTTTATGTTTATGTAATGTAAAATTGACTACACAATTTTTACAAAGATTTTATGAAAATATTTTATTGAGAATGTACAAACCGTCAGTCAATTAGAGGAGAAGTTACACTGTCATAATAAATAGCCACAAAGCAAAACGCCAAAAGACATCCAAATCAGAATAAAACAAAACATTTTAACAAAAACAAAAAGAACAAACTGGCAACAAATATGTGAAGTTTATATTACAAAGATGCTCACTTATCCACTCTAAAGAGAGCTTTTAGAATTTGATTTAAAATACGGCAAAGACATTATCCCACACTTCACAGAAAAAATAAATTTAAGCAGCTGTTAACACATGAATGTATTATCAAGCTCAGATATAATCAAAATTAAATATTTGACAAGAGATTCTACAGTTTGGGAGAAATAGAAGTGTTTTTTTCTTTTCCCCAGGCCCACAAGTCTAGTTTCTTGTTCTTCTTCACTATAATGGGGTTTGTCATCAGCTCCCCAAAATATGGGAAGCACAGAGCAGGTGGTGGCTGAAGGTGGGGTATCCTGTGAAACCATATTTAAGATCAGAGCCCTTGGTCCATTGTGTTGTAATCAGCTGGCTCAGGAAAGAACACCTGGCTGTCCAGAGCTCTACACCTACTGCACTGGGTGTGAAAGGAGGCCTGAGAACCCATGGGTCCCAAACCCACCCCACTCCAAATTATCATCCAGTATTGAGAACTCTGACACCAAATTCTCACAGAGCATATGTTTATGCAGTTTTACATTTAATTTCTCATTACATTACAATTGGGAAACTGAGGCCCCAGAAGAGGCAGAGACTGGTCCAGATCTCAGGAGGTGGGCAGGCTCCAGAGCATTAGAGAGGGCTCCAGCTTCCTAGGCCTTGGCACCGTCCCACTTATCAGGTTTGTTTTCGAAATTAGAGTCTGTAGCTACACATTCAGGAGCACAGAAAATGAGCAGATTCAGGGTTCTGTTCACATGGGGTCCTCTCCATGTCAGTTTCAAGATAACAGGACTGGGGTTCTGCATCCAGCTCTGAGGGCAACTGGAAGTAAAATGAGCTATGCTCCACCTCAGCCTAATGTAGACAGTGCCTACAGGAAAGCTTGTTTTCTTCCTCATAAATAGGGGTGCCTGAAGTGGGTGACCTTGATGATTTCACATACTCATAAGTGTCTGCCAGCCTGGATTCTTGCTCTGAGACTGCAAAAATGCACCCACTCTGCAGATCCTTCAAATCAGAGGGAGGCATGGCCACTTGAGAGGCATCTTGGGTAGATGAAGATGAGACAGAGTTAAATGTGCCAGAGCACTGGACTCTGAGGCTGAGGTCCACGGAAAATCTCAGCTACTGTTGCGTTCTTAAGGTCCTCATTTGAAAGTGGTAGAAAATAATTTCACTGGATAAGGGGAGGATACCTCATGAGTAAATAGCACAACCAAAAAGGTGGAGGCAAAGAGAGGGCAAAACGGGATTCCTAGTTCACTCATTATACTTGGGGCCTTCAGATCCTGCTACTTTATCCCCTAGGACCTTGAAGAACCAGTGTCTTGAGGACAGAAAAATCAAGGTATCAGATTTGTTCAGTAGTGCTCCTGCTTGGGGCTGTAGGGTTAGTGATGGCCAGGAGGTGGTTACAGCCTACTGTGTTTCTGGTGCCCACTGAGCTTTGCTGGAGCAGCTGGAACAAGTAACAGTCACACACCTCATGTTGTTATCAGTGATGTCCACATTATCAGGTGGTCAAAAGGGGAAGGGATATTAGGGATCCCCCATATAATCACTTAGCCAGTCTTTTTTCCCTTGCGCTCACCATTTGCCAGCGACCCTGGTGGGTCCAACATGTGGTACAGAAAATTATTACTTCATGTCTGCACCCCCCAACCCAGGACCAAACAATCTGAGGACCGCTGGACAAAAGCACTAAAGCAAGTATATGTGAAAGAAAAGAGCAAGGACTATAATATAAAGTAGATTATTGAGAAGAAAACCTGGAAAATTATTGCATGGGAGGACCTCAGGCCTCACTGAGGTGACTTTTAATCCATGATGAGGATGACAGCAGGGAGGCATCTGCACAAGCATGTGTCAGGGAGAAGCCACCCTTAGTGAAAAAACTCATAGGTGTGAGTTTGGCAGAGGTAAAAAGGGACTAGTTTGGCTGCAGACAGCCTGAGAAAGAGATAAGCAGAGGGATGGAGAATCCTAGGGCCTGGGAGATGAGGTTAGATATCTGCTCCTTTCTGACAACATTGCCCTAAAAGTCAGCACTTTTCAACAACATATAATATCTCATAATGTGTGTGGACCAGAATCTGGACACAGCTCAGCTGGCTACCTCTGCCTTCAGGTCTTTTATGAGACTGGGGGCTGTGGTCTTAACTGAAGCTGGACTGGGAAAGCATGAGCCTTTAAGCTGACTCATGTGAAAATTGACAGGGTTTAGTGTGGCTGGAGAGCCTGACTTTCCTTCTCTCTACTCGTCTGAGCACCCTCTCACCCTTTGTTATGTGGGTCTCTACATGGAGCATCTCATAGCATTGGAGCTTGCTTCCTGTGTTTGAGGAATACAATAGACAGAATTAGACAAAAAGGTTTACACAAAAAGAGACAGAAAGATCGAGGGCGCAAACGAGAAAAACCCAGTAGGAGAAAAATTAGAGCTTTAAAAACATCTTGACAGGGTGCGGTGGCTCACACCTGTAATCCCAGCACTTTGGGATGCTGAGACGTGTGGATCGCCTGAGGTCAAGGGTTTGAAACCAACCTGGACAACATGGTGAAACCACCGTCTCTTCTAAAAATACAAAATGAGCTAGATGTGGTGGCGCATGCCTGTAATCCCAGCTACTTGGGAGACTGAGGCAGGAGAATCAATTGAACCTGGGAGGCAAAGGTTCCAATAAGCCGAGATCACACCACTGCACTCCAGCCTGGGATACAAGAGTGAAACTGTGTCTCAAAAAAAAAAAAAAAAAAAAAAAAAAAGAAAGAAAGAAAGAAAGAAAAAAAACTTGAGAGTTACTATAATTTTTCTTCTATATTTGTGTTAAAATTGTAACCCCGGGCGTAATGCTATAAGGAGGTAGAATGTAATTAAACCCTTAGGGTGGGACCCTCATAATACAGATTACTGGCTTTATACAAGAAACCGCAGAGGGCTCTCATCCTCCTGCAAAATGAGGGTAAAACCTGAAGTGTGCAGGCTGAAATTCAGAAGCCAGTCATCACCAGATCTCAACCATGCTGACACCCTGATCTCAAATTTGAACCTCTGGAGGTATGAGAAATTAAGTCCTGTTGTCTATATGCTGCCTATCTATGGTTCTTTGGCATAGCAGCCTGAACTAATACAAAAGTGATATCCTTTTCTGTGTTTCATTGGAGAGAAGCTGAATTTGTACCCCCTATACTGTTAAAAAAAAAGACTTAAAAAATGGATCTTCAGAATGAAAGATAGGAAACGGCTTGTTGAAACACTAAAAATTTAACTGCTATAAGTTTTTTAAACATTGGCTGAAATTGTTGGAACCAATATTGCCAACTGAAGTCCATGAAGCATCACTTTGCAGACTTTGGAGCCCAAATTTCCATTGTGTGCTTCATACTAACTCTCCCTGAATTTGTATGTGACCTGTGAGGAAACAAGAAGAGATGACTGTATATGTCTCATGACTTTCCATATTCCTACTTTCCTTCCAGCAATCCCCTACAGAACCCACCTATTAGGCCTTTTCTAATCACTGCCTTAAAGCCAGTATGACAAAACAAATTTGATTTGAACTCCTATCTCCTTGTTAGCCAACATACAAGATGATATTTTCCTCAAAACCGAAGGGCCATAGTACTGGCATCAGGAAGTATTCCATTTTATTCAATAAAAAACTGAGTCACTCAATACCTAGTACTGGGAGACTTTGTGAAGACTTCCTCTGTCATAGACGTGATAAGGCACATGGATATGATTCTAAATATAAAGAGAAAGCACTAGAAAGTTGAATTCCTGTATTAGATCATTCTCATACTGCAATGATGGAGTACCTGAGACTGGGTAACTTATAAAGTAAAGAAGTTTAATTGACTCACATTTCCACATAATTGTGGGGGCACCTCAGAAACCTTCCAATTACAGTGGCTGACAAGTGAAGTGAGTGAGAGCATGGGATGTACCAGATGCTTATGAAACTATCAGATCTCGTGAGAACTCACTATCACAAGAACAGCATGAGGAGAACCCGTCCCCATAATCCAATCATCTCCCCTCAGGTTTTCCCTTAACACCTAGGGGTTATAATACACAATGAGTTTTGGGTGGGGACGCACAGCTAAACTATATGAATGCCAGAGGACAGTATCTACATTTAATTTCAACTTCATACTGGAGCAGAATGAAAATGAGGCCCAGTGGAGAAGTGATATTTCCAAGATCACCCTGGCAGACACCAGGCCTGTTTGAGTTGTGGCCCATGCTACCTCCCACCTATTCTCCTAATGCTTCCATCTCTAAGTGTATGCATTATCTACAGGTGACACTACATCATTATTTTTATGTCTTATCTTATATACACCTAATACATTCCCTAGGAAGTAGATGTTAGCATCATCACCAGTGTGCATGTTAGGAGGCTGGGGAAGCCTTGAATACAGTGACTTTTACTGGGTCCCAGAGATGGTAAGAAAAACAAGGTTATGTTCCAGCTGTCTCTTCTATCCTGGAACCCAGGTTGCATTTAGGTCTTTCCAGGGAATTAAGGGGAAGTTGTGTTTGCATAATTGTGTACAAATAAAGAGTTGACATGGAAGAGGAGACTGAGCAATCAGTAGCATAGTGGGGCCTTTCGGTATGTCTTACAGAAACATGGGGCCCAGTAGATGGAACCTTGAAGAGTTTAACATACTTTCTTGGTGTCAGAACCCAACAGCAGTTAAGAAACCAGGAATCCACATTCTTGAGACAGCTCTGTATCCACCTCTGTTTGTGAGAGTTGCTCAAGAGAGTGAGATGCTCTTTCATTGTGCCCTGAAATTTCTGAGTTTCAGCCTTACAAAGGCTCAATGTAAAAGTCTTATCTGATAACACAGATGTCAACTGAGCCCTCATCACTGATTTCCCTGGCTTTTGGCCGGGTGCACCTACAAATAACACAGGGCAGCCCAGGACAGGCCCCTCCACGCCAGCCTCTCTTGTCAACTCATCTGGGCAGTCCCACACCACTTCTTAGTACCATGAGTTGGATGGGGAGCAAGAGGGAGGGCACTCTTCTTGGACTGAAGTAGATTGTCGGGTGTTGGAACTCTTGTGTACCTGTCATGTTCATACCTAGGCCATAGCTGGCAGAATAAAAAGAAGAGGGTTGGAGAACGAGTCTGTGTACTCAGATGTGAATTCCAAGACTTTAACTTGTCCTCTGGTTTCCTTCCTTCATGGAGATTTATACAGATTCTCCTTATGTGCCTAATCTGAAGAGAAGAATTTCTTTTATTTTCTTTTTTCTTTTTTCCTTTCTTCTTTTCTTTTTTCCTTTCTTCTTTTCTCTTTTCTTTTCTTTCTCTTTCTTTCTTTCTTCTTTCTTTTTTTTTTCTTTCTCTTTCTTTCTTTCCATCTCTCTCTTTCTTTCTTTCCTTCTCTCTCTCTTTCTTTTTTATTTATCATGAAGTCTCACTCTGTTACCCAGGCTGGAGTGCAGAGAAAAGCAGAATTTCTAATGGAGGTGTCACATACGGTCAAAGCAAGGAAGAACACAGACTTTTCTTTGCGTGGTTTCTAGGCACATTTACAAAGCTGCATTCAGATTGATGAGGAGCTTCATCATTCAGTTTAATGTGGCCAACTCCTCCCTCTTTTTGGAAAAAGAGCAGGTGCACTAAACCAGCAAACACAGCCAGCACTGGGCTGTGCTGAGAGCAGCCACATAGGGGTCTCTACAGACAGAAAGCTGAGAAGACAGGGAAAGAAACAGGACCCAGACTCAAATATGAAAAATCTCTGGGCTTTGTCCTACGGCCTTCCCATGAGTAACTCATAGCCTTGTTCCAGTGGAATCTGGCCTTCACTAGTCTCAGTGGCAAGTTGGTTATGTGGAAAGTCTCTCTTCACACACTTGTGCGAATAACGGTAAAGAATTTTGTATAGTTTTCACTTTACATTAGGCCATGAGTATTTATGCCTGTGGCTGCAGTTTGTGTTAGTTTCCGGCCCCACGTATCTCCTGCAGCATGCAGCTTCAGTCCTATCGGACCCTCAAAACTTAAAAGCTAACACTATTACTAGGGAGGATTTCGCAGGAAAATGGAGAAAGGGTTACACACAAAAAAGGTTAAACTACTCTATGCATGTTTCTGCAATGTGTTATCTCAGGAACTCATTTCTGTAGCCCATCAGGGCAGGAGCTGGGCTCTCACCTGTTGATAATATTCCATAAGGGAGGTTCTTCCCCACAGTGTTTAGTCTCCCGACGCTGGTACAGCCTGACATGATGACATTCTACTTTCATGTCGGTCATGCTGCAGGGAAAATTCTGAGTGTTCTAATAGGCTGGAATCATTTGCTAGGGTGAACCCCATCTTTGGTTCTCACTTTTCTGTTATCTTGTAATTAGCTTTATTCTCAGCAAATCCATGTCTATTTTATTTATCTGTTTATTTACTTATTTTTATGTATGGAAAAACACTTTTTTTTATTTACTTATTTATTTAGAGACAGGTCTCCGTCTGTTACCCAAGCTGGAGTACTGTGGTAGAGTGCTGTGATCATGGCTCATTGCAGCTTCAAACTCTTGGGCTCAAATGATTCTCTCACCTCAGCCTCCTGTGCCACCATGCCCTGCTAGTTGATTTTAATTTTTTATAAAGAAGGAGACTCATTAGGCTGCCCAGGCTGGTCTCAAACTCCTGGGCCCAAGCAATTCTCTCATCTCAGCCTCCCAAAGCACTGGGATTAAAAACATGAGCCACTGTACTGAGCTGTGCCTACTTCAAAAGACTGAAAATAAAAAATCAATAAATCTTTGCCAAATTAAAAAACAAAACAATAGTTTCCAGGTCTTAGACAAAGACAATTCTGTGTCATGAAGAGTGGCAAAAGGCTTATTTAGCTGTTAAAATGATTTGCTTATATTTCAAAGAAGCAGAGAAAAAAAGATACATATAAAAGTTTTCCAGGCCAGGCACGGCTGTTCATGCCTGTAATCCCAACATTTGGGGAGGCCAAGGCAGGAGGATCTCTTGAAGCCAAATGTTTGAGTCCAGTACAGGCAACATGGTGAAATTCTGTCACCATAAAAAAATAAATAAAATAAATATGGCTGGACATGGTGGTTCACGCTTGTAATACCAGCACTTTGGGAGTCGGAGGCAGGTGGATAATGAGGTCAGGGGTTCGAGACCAGCCTGGCCAAAATGGTGAAACCCTTTCTCTCCTAAAAATAATAACAATAAAAAATTAGCCAGGCATGGTGCTGTGCGCCTGTAATGCCAGCTACTCAAAAGGTTGAAGCAAGAGAATTGCTTGAACTTGGGAGGCGGAGGTTGCATTGAGCTAAGATCATGCCACTACACTCTAGCCTGGCCCACAGAGCAAGACACTGTCTTGAAAAAATAAATAAATAAATAAATAAATAAATAAATAAATAAATAAATAAAAAGTTAGCTAGGCCTGGAGGTGCATGCCTATAGTCCTAGGTAATTAAGAGGTTGAGGCAGGAGGACTGCTCAAACCCAAGAAGTTAAGGTTATAGTGAGCTATGATTATGCCATTGCACTTCAGACTAAGCAAAAGAGTAAGATTCCATTTCAAAAAATTACTAAAAAAAGTTCTCTAAATTACATTGTTTAAGAAAAGGGAAAAGAAAAAATATCTTTTTTAATTTTCAAATGGGAGAATAGAGCCTCTCATTTCTAATATGTATTTCCTTCTGCAAAAACATGGTCTAGGCCCATGGTCTTGAACTACTGGACATCTGAATTTTAGTAGGTGCTGGATTCAGGCAACTGAGGGGTGGCTTGGACACACTAAGTGCACGTAAATAAAAGGTTTGAGGTGAACTAAAAGGTAAAAGAGGGGAAGGTGCTATTAAGAACCCACAGTTGGGAGACAGTACAGGGTTGGTGGAAGGACTGGTTCATGCTACAGATACTGACCCAGGTGAAACTTTACTCTGACTTATTTCTGTGTCCATGCAGGAAGACGAGATTATGATCAGGTGGCACAGAAACCTGGGATGGTGAAAAAACCAGGTTGCCCCTGCAGATTCGGTGTCTGAGGTAGAACGTATGCCAGGGGTCTTGTAGGCACATGTGTGGGTTTTTGGTGGGAAAGTCTATGAGGAAAGGTAGCATGGGCAACAATCTTGATGCCAAAGCCTTGTCCTGAGAGGGGCTTGGCCACATCAACATGCAGTGTGTATGTTCAGTGGGTGAAAAACCTGTGGTGGCCTCAGGTTGGCAGGAGGGTAGAAGGCATCTGTTCTCAGAACTTCTTCCCTCAGAGTCGTCGGTCCTTCTTACCATGGGAGAATGCCTGGAACCACAGGGCAGTGCATGGTGTAGCAGCCTGTGTGCAGAGCAGAGCCTACCTTCCCCGAGACACCTGGAGTCTCTCTCCAGCAGAGGCCCCCACATTGTCTTTCTCCTTACAACACTTTTGATCCTAAATGTGTAAAGTTCCCTGAAAACCCACTGCTTCTCCAACACCCATTTGTTGCCCCAAAATTTAATTCTGACACAACTTAGAGTTCACACAGATCCCAGAAATTCAGGGCTCAGTCCCACATCACCCCTCTCACTGTAGAGGAGAGTTACACATCCCTGAAGCCCATCTACACTTCTGAGCTACCTCCTATAAATCTGAGACTAGCATAAACCCCTTTTCAAGTTAAATAATTTGATAGAATTACTAAAAAGAAAACCTCAACAAATAACTGTAATTATATTTACTACTTTATTATAAAAATATAACTCAGAAACAGCCAAATGGAAGAGATGTCTAGGGCAAGGAACAGTTGTGGGTGAAGGCAATCCTGGAAATAGCTATATTTAAAGAAATTCCCCCATTCTTTGCATTCTCAAAGAACAGCTTAGTGAAGAGAAACGTGCTTCCCCTGATGACTTTGAGGATGCTCCCTGCTGTTTTTTTAACCTATCACAAAAATGGACACAGATTGCAAATTCCCATTTTTAAAAATGAACAACCATTCAGTAATTTAGTCTTCAGTGGTCCAAATAACATACTCTTAAAGAAACTTTGCTTGTTTCTCTTCTTCCAACCAGCCCCTGAACTTTGACTCACCCACAGCTTCAGCAAACCTACAACCCTTATTTATACATACCCCTCCTAAGAACAGGCTGAGTTCAAGGTGAAACATTATCTTATCTGGGATCGCATTTTGCTACCCTCCATCGTGTGCTTCCTTTCCAACCTTCTTTGTAAACTTGTTTTCTCCTCCCTATGAAATAAGGCCCTTTTCCACCTAACCTTAGAGATACTCAAAGATCTAATCATTTGTACTTTTTCTTTGTTGCAATACTTCTTAGGTAACTTCTTAGACCAAGTCTAGAAACAGTCTGAGGACAATAACAATTCCATTCTAAAAAGAATCTCCCAACATTTCTTCTATCTCAACCTCAACTGCATCTGCCTGTGAACTTCCAGCTTACCAAGGCTCTATATCTTCTGGCAGTGACAAAGGCTCCTTCCATGGTTGGTGTGAGTAGGCTTGGACACCTGCAGGGCAGACACCCAGGAATAATCAACTGGGCCTTCAGTGGTCCTCTTTTGCAGGGTCAAGGTGGGCCTTAGCTTTTAGTCAATGGTCTAAGACTTCTATTTACCAGTTAGTCATTCAGTTAGTTTTCAATTCAAAAAATACTTCATGTTTGAAGAATCCAGCAAAAATTATTCAAATCTAAGATATAAAAGAGAGGAAATTACAGCCGGGCATGGTGACTCATGCCTGTAATCCCTACATTTTGGGAGGCCTAGGCGGGCAGATGACCTGAGATCAGGAGTTTGAGACCAGCCTGACCAACATGAAGAAACCCCGTCTCTGCTAAAAATACAAAATTATCCAGGTGTGGTGTTGTATGCCTGTAATCCCAGCTACTCGGGAGGCCGAGGCAGGAGAATCGCTTGAACCCAGGAGTTGGAGGTTACAGTGAGCAGATGTCTTGCCATTGCACTCCAGCCTGGGCAAGAAGAGTGAAACTACATCTAAAAAATAACAGAATAAAATAAAATAAAAACATTATAAGGGGCTTATATCTTATAATTCATCAAGAAAAGCCAAAGTATCTATCCCTTTCAGAAAATAAACATGTAATTTAATTATGTTCAAAACAAATCATTTAGTAAACAATTAATCATATGTGAACACTTCCAGGAGGTGCAAAGTCCCAGCTCCTAAAACTTAACATTACCCTCAAACACCCAGATGGCAGCATATGGAATAGAGTTATTCACTTTCACAAGTTCTCTCTTTTGAAAAAAAGAATAACTTATGTGATAAATTTATGTAATTTGACAATTAATCTACCTCATGTGCTTGCAGATATGTATTCATTTCCTACCACCGTAGTGGAAGAGAGATTTTCCCTATCTTTACAACTGATAGCATTTCCAACAGTAAGCTGTGAGATTCTGCTTGAAATCACCTCTCAAACAAATAAAAAACAGACCTGGGAGACATGCTACACTCATTCTGCTGAGGAAATAGGTAAGTAACAATTTTTAACAAATGAAATACATTACTACTTAATTTTATTCAAAATTCACCAACTTAATGTGCTTTATAAATATTCTCATACCTTTGAAGCTCTACTGATAAAACATAATTTACAGTTAATGAAAAAGTGAAGTTAAAATAAATACAATCATATTTTCAAGGTGACAAAATTAGAAGGTGACAATGGTGATTGAAACACAGACATATCTGACCCAAGGGTCAAGTCAAGCCGTTCTATTACTTGGGATATTTTCCCTGCTTCTATCTGGTTCAGTGATGTGGGTCATGAGCGTCCTACCAGGAGCTGCTACGCTCTGCTCCACTGTGTCTGTGAGGTGCATTTTACTTTGCAGGTTTTTGCACTGCCTCACTAGGTTGGGTTTCTTTGTCCTTTGAAATATTTTCTCTCCCTTCACCAATCTGAGGACATTTTTTCCTCACTATTCAGCATCCAGTTGCCTGGCATGCAATGTGTCTCTAAGGAATGGAAACTAAGCGTTGGGGTAAGAAATTCTTAATGTCCTAAAGGGTTTGCTTTTAGCGCAAATGTATACGTGGAGATTCCTTCCAGGTATAGTGCATCCAACCACTCCAAAAAGAGGCTGCATTCCCATACCTTGGGCTGTTCCCTGAGAGGAGATGACACAAGGGATGTTATTTACTAGACACTTCAAGAGTCATGGCCAGTGTTGGTATCTTGGGGATTCTCAAACAGTTTTGAAACCCAAAACCAAGAAAATAACACAAGATGGCTGAGGATGTATTGCCCTGTGAGGTTTCTGAAATGAAACCTCAACCCAAAAACATTCTGATGGGGTGTCTGTGCCAAGGGAAGATTAAAGAAAGGGGCACAAATATTTTCTTTTCTTTTCTTTTCTTTTTTTTTACTGTGGATTGTCAGGGGATTATTATCTGCTTTCATGTCCTGTAAAATGTTTACAAATGAAAAATATTTTTTTAAGTGTCATCCACTGCTTTTTGAAAAAATGCAGAATTAAAATACTGTGTCTAAAATGTACAATAAAGAACAGTTGATAATGTTGTGAGTTACACAAGGTTAGTTAGTGTTGGTAAGTGTCAGGAAAGAACTGGAAATTTAAACTCTGACAGCAAGCCAGAGTTAGGCTGGGGTAACAGGGTGGTAGATTTGAGGCTCTTCTTGCCACACATTTGGAAAATGCATGAGAAAACTAATTCTCTTTTGGAGCATTAAAACAACTAAAAAACAGGCAATTGCGTTGAGGTGGCTCTAGTGTCCTGAGCTCTGAGTAGAGAGACAGGCAAAGGCATCCCTAGATCCAAAAAGCTGCCCATTCTTCTCCAGCTGTGCACCTGATTAGATAATTTCCACTCCAGCACCCATGATTGGATATAGTTCAATTCCCCACCAAGCCCCCTCAGGCCATGAGTGACATATGTGATTTGACACTGGATTGAATAAAGCAAGAATTATAAGTTTTTCCTGGATCCTTTTCTGGCAGGGCTTCCTTCATGCACTGGACACTGGCCCTGCCTGTAAAATACTTGCATTTTCATTTGTGTGTAAGATTATTTGTATTTATGAAAAATATATATGTGTTATTCATACATGGAAGCAATATAATGACAATTGTTTTAAAATTTCAGATGTTTTACTTTCCTGGCACATCCAGGTTTTAGAGCAGGCAGCCTGAGATTTCAAAAATGAGGCAATTCTCTAAGAAATAATATGTGAGGCACATGTGAATTTTAAATATTCTAGTAGCTACATTTTAATAAATACACCAGGCATGGTTGCCTGTTCGTGTAGGTTGAACTGTTTGGGAGACTGATGTGGGAGGATCATTTGAGGCAAGGAGTTTGAGACTAGCCCAGGCAGCATAGAGAAAGCCATCTCAACAACAACAACAACAAAATTGAAAAATTAGCCATGCCTGGTGTATGCCTTCAGTCCCAGCTACTCAGAAGGCTGGAGCTGGAGGATCACCTGAGCCTGGGAGGTCAAGGCTGCAGTGAGCCATGATCACACCACTGCACTCCAGCCTCACTGACAGAACAAAACTCTGACTCAAAAAACTGATCTCTGGAAAGGCATTTTCTTTTTCTGCAACGTAGCCAAATAGCTAAATTTGTATTGAAGCCATCCTTTAATTTTTAACAGGGCAAGAATATTTTCTAAGACCCCGAACTCCAGATATGCGATGGGGCAAATCCTGAAGCGTACATGGCTATCTCTCACAGCTAAAGCACCCCTCACCCCTATCCAGCGCTTCTTACCCCTGGCGCAAGAGAGTCACCTGCGGGGAGGAAAACTATCAAAATCCCTTAAACCCAAGTTGTAACCGCACAACTAAATCAGAATCCTTGGAGCTGGATCTGAAAAAAATACGGTTGAAAGTTGTGCAGGTGATTACAATGTGTAGGCAAGCCAGAAAACCATGGCTTTAACGAGCAGCTTTTGTTAGAAATGATTTCTCAAATGAATGTAAAAACGTTTGCTGCTGAATTGTGACCTTTCAATTTTACCTGCTTTTCCTGCAAAGTATATTTTGCAGACCCAGGCTGGCTTGTCCTTCTGTTCATGGTTCACCCAGTGCCGTGTGTGCTCAGTGCATCCTGTGCACGGGTCACTGTGCTGTGTGCGCTGGCCGGGGTGAGCATCATTCTTCGGGGAGAACCTTTCTGAAAACAAAGCTGCAATCCAAAAAGTTAAAACCATGCTACTTACTGTACTGAGGTAAAAATTAAAAGACCTAGGGGACTCTTCCAAAAGTTAAAACGTAAATAAATATCTTGGAACATTAATATACACCTGACGATGTCCTGAGTGAACACGCCCCACTTTAAAACAAAACAAAACATTACTATTATTCTAAAATATTAATTTAGGATTGTTATGCAAATATGTACTATTTAAATATTTATTGATGAATAACATGCATACAGCAATATAGGAACAAAATATTTATGGAATGCTTGATGAATTATTACTAAATAAATACACTTGTGTATGTAAGAATCAGATTTGCTCATGCCCTTGACACTTTCTCCTTCCCAAAGGTAACCAAGACCTTAAGAGCTAAGTGTAGATAAACTTTGTCATTTTCTACACGTGTTTTATTACAGAACATTAAAAACGTATACATAATACAAAAAAAGGATAACAGACCAGTCACCCAGATTTAACAGCTACTAGTCATGTGTCATTTTTGTTTCACCTATACTTCCAGCCATTTCCACCCCAATTTCATTATTTTTTAGCCTTTTTGGATAAAATGTATATTCATTGCAAGGTACAATGTGAACTGTGAATAGTAGAGAGATGGGGTTTCACCATGTTGACCATGCTAGTCTTGAACTCCTGTCCTCAGGTGATCCACCTGCTTCGGCTTCCCAAATTGCTGGGATTACAGGCATAAGCCAATATACTCAGCCTGAGAATTTTTTCATACTTCTAAGAAAGTACAAATCCATAGGGCACATGAGAACTGCAATGTCTATCTACAGTAAATACAGTTTGATAAATAAAATGAAAGGCAATTGACCTAAGGTGAAAAGAAAAACAAAAAACAATCAAAGCATGGGTACTATGTGTCATCTGTAAGAGCATTTGGTTAAGAATAACAAACAAACCAGTTTTATCGTTTTAATAGCCGAAATTGGCAAAATTTCTAGTTTTTCTTTCATAGGAATGCTCTTTGCAAGAAAAAATTTTCATATAGTGAGAGCAAAAATGGCAACCATTTGCAAGTAAATGTCTTATGAAATTAAGTAGCAGATATCAAGCTCATGACCTTCAGATAGTTACCCCTAACTCAATCACTTACATAGCAAGTGCAGATAATTTTCATAGCTCCCTATTAAAATTATATTTGAATGCCCTTACAAATTGTGACTGTTTTTAAATAAAGTTGACCAACTAAAATTTTGTATATGACATATGATAAATTCCCCTTCAAGTCACCTTACATTTACTTAATTTTATTAGGCAGTGTCTGTCTACCACCCAATAATACTTGACGATTCTCCCTCCATTTGCACAGGCATCATAGCTGGGAAACGGATTCACAAGACCCAGGCTGTTCCCTACATATGTTTCCTCCTCCGACATCAGTTCATCAGTCAATCAAGCCATGTGAGAGTGGAGGCCTTGTATTCCCTATTATTCTTGGGCACTCTACTCCAAGTAGGAAAAGGCCAGGAGGTCCTGTTAAAGGATGCACTCAGAGCCCGGGCTCCCTAACATATGAGAGTGCTAACCAGCAGGTGTAGACTTTTCAGGAGTGAAGAATGAGGCAGGCATTCCAAACCTGGACCTTCATCACCTTTTGTTTCATCTCAAGACAATTCTGAGGGACTGTTTTGGAGCGTGTCTGGAAGGTGAACCTTGAAGAAGAGTGTGGGCTTTGATGTGACTCAGTTGAGATCTTTCATGGGGAGGCAGGAATTCAATGCCCAGAATCTGGGCTGGTGTCTTTGAGGTCAGTAGGTTGCGTCTTTGTATCCAAGTCCATTGTTACTAGGTTGGAGGCTGGAGATTCTAAATGGCTTCCAGACCATCTCTCTGATTCTCTTTGGGAGATGGGGTCTGAAAGACAATGTCAGTAGTTTTGGGAAATTCTAGAAAGTGTGCTTGGAAACGTGGGAAGAGCTCTTGCCTAGTGCCTAAATGCTCCATTTGCAGCTCTAGCCAAGTAGATACTTGGTAGGTATAGAGCCGGGTTTGCGTTTATATCAGCAAAACCTATGTCAGAGTTGAAGAAGTAGTCAGGAAAAAGCGTCTTGGTCGCAGGCCGGGGAACATCTTAAAAGCAAACTTCTAGCCTGCTGACTCTTGGCAATGAGTGTTGGATCCTGGCTAAAGTGCCTTGAATGCAGCATGAGGCCAATCCATGAATCCAACTTCTCATGGAGAAATGTTAATATTTTTTCAGTTTGAATCAATCAGGGTGAAACTA
Source organism: Homo sapiens (assembly GCF_000001405.40). Taxonomy (NCBI): domain Eukaryota; kingdom Metazoa; phylum Chordata; class Mammalia; order Primates; family Hominidae; genus Homo; species Homo sapiens. The sequence goes on along the minus strand of NC_000021.9, from coordinate 7,670,467 downwards.
CCATGCTATTGGTTTGCTTACTTTTTATTATTTCATGTAAAATCTAAGACAAAATACATTAAATGCTTATTGACATATGTATTTATTCTTCACCAGGCTGATAATATCTGCCTAATTTTAAACTTTCTTCCATTTTGTAGGTTTCAACTTATTCTATTGTAAGATACTGTTAAATCTAATAGAGGCATTGTCACTTTTACGTATAATTTTATTTTATTTCATATATTTCCTATTGGCTTTTTACATTTAAATTATGGAGCACTTCATCATATAAAAAACTTCAATTATATTTAAACAGTAAGTCTTTGGATTTTTTTGCCTTGTAATTTCCATATTACATAATAATGAGATAAACATTAATGTTTTCAGGGTACTTTAAATTTTAGATAATTACTCATTGTATTCATGTGAAATTTGTTTTTACTGCATGTGTGGGTTGGAGGACTGTTTTCACTTCTGATTCATCTTTACTCTTATCTCATCAGAGCTCATACCTCTTGTAGTTGGGGGATTGCAGTTTATAATTCCAATAAATGGGGCAAATTCAATAATAACATAATACAAATGAGTTTGAATGCAGGACAGGTCTTCAAAGCATACACAACATGGGCCTACATATGTACAACAATAATAATTTATAAGTTACTGTTTGGATGGAAAGTAAAAGTACAGAAAATTTGTTAAAGGAAATTAAAATGGAGATCATGTCTCAATAATCTCTGAGCAGACAAAATTAGTTAGGTCTCATAAGTGATCTCAACCTCGCTTGATTTGCAAATACAAACAAAACTTAAATTATTTCTTGTAGCTGCATATTGAAAAAAGAGAAATGAAGCTCAACCAGTCAGAAGTAGCCAACAACCTTATATAAATAGAAACTGTCCAACAAGGTAAACAGACAAACAAAAAACAATAAAAAAAGTTGTGCTACCACCAAATGATTTCTTTGTTTCTACATTTTTCAAATAAATACTTGCTTCTTACACTGTCAATGAAGCACTCAATATCTTTCCGTCTGATATTTTATAATTTATCAATTGCTCTTACTCAAATAAACACTTTGCAATTTCATTGTGTCTCAAATTACTTTTTAGCAGAATAAACTAGGAATAAATATTACAAAAATATCTACGGAATATGGAAAAAACATAGAAAGTTTATGAAATATATGAATGTAGACATAAGCAAATAGACAATTTGTATCATATTCTTAGGCAGAAAAACTCAATATTATCAACATCAATTGTCCTTATAGTTATTTATAAATTCAATTTTGTTCCTATACTGATACCATTAAATATTGCAAGTACACGTTACTATAAAATGTTATATAGATGAAAACACAAACAAGAATAGACAAGAAAACTCTGAAAAAAAAAAAAACCACTGGCAAGCCCTGTGTAAAATCTTGATTGATTAAAAAACTCATGGATCACTGAAACTAAAAATTCAGAAATAAACCAAAGTGTCTAAGAAAGTGTCATAGTGCATCTTGGCTGCTATACCAAAATACCTTAGACTGGGTAAAGGATAAATAAGAGAAATGTATTTTTCACAGTTATGGAGTCTGGAAAGTGCAAGATCAAGGCAGCAGCAAATTTCGTATATGGTGAGAGCCCTATTCCCCATAGATGGTACCATCTCGCACATGGGACAAGGGCATTCCCTTCAACTTCCTTTGAAAGAGCACTGATTCCATTCATGAAGATGAAGAACTCTTGGCTTCACCACTTTCCCAAAGGCCTCACGCCTAAAATTATACACATGAATTTGAAAGGGGACATAAACATTCAGGCCATAGCAATAAAAACTACATGGGTGATGGCATCATTTATACATGAGGTGTAAAAATGTGATGTTCTTATCACAAAGGAAATAAATGATTTATTCTTCATGGCATATATCAAAATGAAGGTCCAATGAAAATATTTTTTATGAAGATAAATCTATATGGCAAAAAATTAAGTATTGATAAGTTTAACCCTACAGGTTGCATCAGGATTTTCAAGGTTTCCAGGGATGAGCAAGGCCCTGGAGTTTCCTCCTGTGACATTTTCCTGAAAGTTGCTCATGCTGTTATTCAATTTGAAAGTAGATAATATTGTTTGTTTCTCTTCCAATATTTACTAAATTCAAAATAATATAGGGCTCTTTACTCATAATTCTCAAACAATCATTCAGTCAGTGGGGCTCTGCTGAGGAAGAGCACAGACACATCCACACAAGTATAATGTTCCTCAAATAGAGGACTTCTCCTTGTGCTGGAGCCACCTATGTTGCACTCGATCAGAGGCTTTCCCAGGATAGCATTTCTCTGCAGCCCTACCTCAGTCTTAACCCTGAAAATCCCACTCAGAAGGCGACGGATGAACACCCACCCTAGCATTCTAATCTAATGGATCCTCTCTTAACAATCCCTTCCAGGGATCTGGGATCTTTCCTGGATTCGTCGGCCACACACACCTAGGCTCAAAAATTTGGACAGAAACTTTGATCCTCATTGGCCCTCCTGCCCTGTCCTACCAGCTTCTCTAGAAGTATGCTTCTCTAATTGCTCCTTAGAGACACTATCTAAGGGTATCAACCTGTGCCAATATAATTGATCTCATAAAGTGAGAAGGGAAATAGGCAAGAGTCCAGCTAGCCTAGAAGCAGTGTCTAGGGTTCCTTACCTGATTTATGTCTCTGATTTACCTAAATATTGACAAATACAGATTCACCTCTAGGCAGTAGAAAAACAGAAGGAGAAATCCCAGTTCGTAGAGGAAGAAGAAAATGCAATCAATGCTGTCTAGAGTCCCGCTTAAGCTCAGCCACAGGGTACTAAGTCTCTTCAGGAAAAAGCAATTGTTGTCCATCATCTGAAAAACTGTGGCCTGGAACCATGGGCACCGAGAGTGCACACTGCCCACTAGAGTTCCATGCCTACATCACGGAGAGATAGAATAGTCTCAAAGGATTCTTAAGAGTAATGTGGGGACCAAAAGGAGATGAATCCACAGCCTCTGCCTTACCGTCTGATCTAACTAATAGTATTTCCAGACCTTTCTGTGGGCTGCACCAGGGGTTGTTCAGAAAGAAAAAAAGTTGTTAATGTCCCACCGTTTCCCGTAGCTTCCGAGGTCTGTGTTGTTCATACCCCAGGTTCCAGGTTGTTCTCCCACTACTTCCACAGAATCAGTGTGTCTCATTCCGGTACCTATAATCTCATCTTTATTCTAGTCGCCCTCTACTTTTTTCTAGACACTTTATCTACTAGAGCCAGGTAAAATAGAGACAAGAATATTTACATAAAACTTAGCTGGAACTAAGTTGGAGTCCCATAACTGCTACTAGGCTGAGATGCAACTCAGAGGATACAAAAGCCAGGCTTGCCTAGAATTGCAGTTATGGGAAAGAAAGTCACATTTCACCCAGGAATTATTAGCACGAAATTCCAAGTTTGTGAAATAGATTCCTAGATGATTCCTAGATCCCCCAAACATTTCATCCTTATCTTGGAGGCAATCAGGAAGAGAAAATAAACCATACCTAATCAACAAATTATCTAACCAGCATGTGTGGAAAAGGAGGGAACATCATAGAGTTGGCTTGTTTTAGTACGTGTGGTGAAAAATGCCGCGAAGTCAGAGCTCAATTGGTCTCAAAAGCCTAAAAGATGGCACAGATTAGCTTCACGGGACACATGGTATGGATGGTGTCGGCATACTGTTATGCTGAAGATGTCAAGAGTGGTGACTGATATCTCAAGAAGTGGGCCAAAAGTCCACTTCTGGTTACTCTGCTTGGTATGGTCTAGGAATTCTTCAACCATGAGACAAATAGGTCAACTTTCACCAGCAACCCCAAGTCTGGTTTGCAGTATTAGACTCTGCGTTAGACACAGATTTAGGTTCAATCTGCAGCTTGATTGTTGTCACTCTCTAGAAAACAAACCCTTACCATGGACTTCTAGATGAGTGATCCAGTTAGATCAGCATCTGAGATTGTCTCCAGTTTGCAGCCCAAAAGATATTCAGACAGTCTACAGTTTCCATTGTAGATAACCAAACAGATAGAATATGTGCCATTATCCCAAACCCTGAGTTCTGACCTTTGAGAGGAGCAACCACTCATGTCAGGTTCTGTATGGCTGGCACAGGTTAAACAGCCACAGCAGCCCAGTGGACATCATGAGGTTTCACCTTCCCTGACTCATCTATGAACCAGGACCAGTCATATAGGAAACACTCAGTAAATTGGGGGCCCCACAGAGACAGCATCTTTGCTTCAGAGGATAGAAGGAGGCATAAAATTTCAACCAGCTGGGGATGCTCTAGCCCTCTATGGGTGAAACTGAGTTTGTCAGGAGTTCTGCAGCAAGCTCTTAGCTGACTTTCAAATCAGTGTAACCAGTAGTGTGTCACTGAGTCCAAAAGCCCAAAGAACACCTCTGGGAGGAGGCTAGTCCTTTACTAGAGGCTCCAAATGCCAAAATCAAGATTTTCTTGACCTCAGGATGAATTGATCAATGCAAATCTCCCCAAATATTTTCACTAAACCTTAATTGGAAAGTAAGACTCCAGATTTTTTAACTCTCACTAAACATAAATATCTGATTTTTTCACCTGAGATCTATGTATGTGTGTTGGAGCATGCCTTTACCAATCAGCATAAAGTTACATCTCTCCTTGAGCCTCTACTTTCTACTTGTGCAGAGTTTAAAATGCAGAGGTGAGAGCTTAGGGTTTTCTGGGTCTTTTGCTAAGCATGTACCTGACCTTGAGCATCCCCAATTCCCCATTTCCTTCTTGATCCCAAAGACCGTTATCACAGTCTTAATTCCCAGCAGCTTTTCCTCCTAGAGCTTTTTGACATGATTATTCTTAGACCCAACTGATATCCTTCGTTCCTGGTAGACTGCGTAGCTCATTTCCATTTAAATGCTTTTAGAAATATTAAACTATGGATTTAAGATTTATCTGCTTTTTAAATTAAGTAATGCTGCTCTTAGCCTTCCACAGGACTTGAGGGTTATAAAAAAAAAGGAAGAAAATAATTATTTTATACCAATAGTATGAAAAAGAGACTGGGAATGACTATATTAATAGCAGACAAAATAGACTTAAAAACTTAAAAGAGACAATAAGACATTATATAGTCATAGATTGTCCATTTGGCAGGAAGATAGAAATAGTTTAAACCCATACCTAATAATAAAACATTGAGATATAGAAAGCATAACTTGACAGAATTAAAGGGGCAAAAAGGCAGTTCTAAAATAATAGTTGAAGATGTTAATACTCCACTCTGAGTAATGAATAGAAAAATGAGATAGATGATAAATTAGGAAATAGAGTTCTTGAATAACTCAATGAACCAAATTGATCTAACAGATATATACAATATACTCCATCCAACAAAAGAGACTACACACTCTTCTCAAATGCACATGGGGATTTCCCCACGATGGGCTGTGTAGTAGATCTCAAATTAAATCAATAACAGAAGAAACGTTAGAAAGTTTACAAAACTGTATAAATTAAACAACATACCCTTAAACAACAAATAAGTAAAGGAAGAAATCACAGAGGAAGTTGGAACATACTTACAGAGGAAGAAAAATGAAAACAAAACACATCAAAAGTTAAGGGAAACAGCAAAAAGAGTGCTAAGATGTAAAGTTTGCAGCTAAAATGCATTTAAAAAGAACAAAGATTTCAAATAAATAATAACTTTATCACCTAGTAAATTAGAAAAATAACACCAAATTAGATGCAAAGCAAAGAGAAAGAAGAAAATATTAAAGCTTTTAGCAGAGATAAATGCAATGGAGATTATACAAACCACAGAATTCCAAAAAACCAAAAGTTCATTCTCACTTCTTCAAAAAATTAACAATTGGCAAACTTTCAGCTACACACACAAAAAATTAACAGCATATTCACATACTAAAATGAGAAATGAAAGTGGGACATTACTACTAATTCAAAGAATTAAAATGTTTAAAAAACTGTACTGTGAACTATGATAGGATGATAAATTGGAAAACGTAGATAAAGTGGGCAGATTCCTAGGTATACAAGACTTGATTACAAAGAAATACAAAATCTGAATAGATACAAAACTACTAAGGAAATGGAATCAGTAATTAAAAGCCTCTTCATAAAGAAAAGCCCTTATTTTGTTGGCTTCACTAGTGATTTAGATCAAGCATTTATAGAACAAAAATCCTTTCCAAAGTCTACCAAAAGCCTGAAGAGAGCAGTTCCAAACTTATTCCATGAAGCCACCATTAGCTCATACCGAAGCCAGACAAAGATACTACAAAAACCCATAGACTAATATCCCTTATGAACACGGATGCAAAACTAGTCAGCAACATCCTAGCTAACTACATTCAGCAGCATACTAGCAAGATTACAACCCATGACCAAGGGGAGTTTATTATTGGAATGAAAGGAAGTTTTAGCATATGGGTGGTTTCAGTGCAGTGGTGTTTACAAATAATTGATCACAACCAGTATAGATTTCTTTATTCTTTTTCCAGTCTCACTGGTTCACTTAGCTAGCCTTTCTTAACAAAAGTTTAAGCATATGAAAATTAATCAATGCATATGCCACATTGACAAACTTTTTAAAAAGTATTCTCTCATTAATACAGATAACGTATTTTACAAAATTCAAAATATTTTATAATAAAAACAATAAATTAGGAATAAAAGGAAACCAGCTTTGTAAAATTCACATATAAAAACCCACAGCAAACAACATATTCCAGAGGAAAAGATCAAAAGTGTTTCCTCTAAGCTCCGAAGACAGAGTGAATATCTGCTCTTGCTAGCCACTTTTATTCAACACTGTATTAGAAGTTTCATTCAGAGAAATTAAAAAAGACAATGAAATAAACTGCATCAAAATGTGTACAGAAAATATATTCTTATATGTAGAAAATCTTTAAGATTCCACCAAAAAATATTACAACTAATAAATTCAGCTGAATAGTAGCATACAAAATCAACATACAAAAACAAACTGCATTTTATGTAGTAACATGAATAATCTGAGAAGAAAACTCTGAAAACAATTCAATTTACAATAGTATCAAAAGAATAAAGTAGTTAGGAAGTAACGAAGAAGTAAAATGCCAATTACTCTTGTGTAGATATTAAAAAATCAATTTTTAAGTTTATGGGGAATCTCAAAGATCTTTAAATTGCAAAAATAATTTTGAAAAAAATACCAAAGTTAGACAAGTCACACTTAATGATTTCAAGACTTACTACAAAATTCCAAAATAGCATGCTACAAAGAGACTAATGGAGTAATATAGAAGGCCCATATAAATAAACCCTCATATATAAGGTCAAATGATTTTTATGGGAAATGAACTGCCTTTACAACAATTAGTGCTGGGGAAATTGGGTGCCCACATGTAAAAGAGTGAAGCTGGGCCCTTAACTTCTACTATAAGAAAAAATTAACTAACTGGATCAAAGACCTAAATGTAAGAGCTAAAACTACAAAATTCTTAGTATAAAATGTAGGTAAAACACGTCATAAGGCTGGATTTCGCAGTGATTTCTTTTAACAGGACACCAAAAATGCAAGAAACAAAAGAAAAATAGATAAAGAGGACTCTATCCAGAATATACAAAGAACAATTCAGCAATAATAAACTACTTGTTTAAAATATGGGCAAAATACTTAAACAGATATTTCTCTAAAAATTATGTGAAGTGGCTTATAAGCCCATGAAAAGGTACTCAACAAAACCTTTTCATTTTCATTAGTAAAATGAAAATCTAACCCCAAATGACATATCACTTAATGCACATCAGCATAACTAGTACAAAAAGAAAAAAAAAACAGAAAATCACAAGTGTTGGTGAGGAAGTGGAGCAGTTAGAACCCTTGTACACTTGGTGGAAATGTAAAATGCTGCAGCTGCTATAAAACAACACCATAGTAACGAAATAATTTACACTCAAAATCACCGTATGATCCAGCAATTTCACATCTTGGTATGTTGCAAAAGATGTGAAAGCGAAGACACAAAATAATACACGTACACCTAAGCTCATAGCAGCATGACTCACATCACTCAAAAGGTTTTTGAATTACCTGTGTTGTTTGAATTATCATCAATGAATAAATAGATAAAATGTGATTTATACATACAGTGGGATATTATTCAGTTATGAAAAATAAGGAAATTCTGACACATGGTACGTCATGCATGAACCTTAAGGACATTGTGCAAAGTGACATGAGCCAGTCATAAAAGGACAAATACTGTATCATTCCACTTATGAGATACTTAGAGTAGTTAAATTCTGGAAACCCACGTAGAAGAGTGGTTCCTAGGAGCTGGAGGGGGAGTAACAGGGAGCTGTTATTTAATGTGTATTGAATTTTGGTTTGGAAGTTGAAAAAAGATCCTTATGAATGGGAATAATAGTTGCAAAACAATGTGAGTGTAGTTAATTTCTCTGAGCTGAACACTTAAAATAGTTAAGATGGTTAATTTTATGTATACTTTGCCAAAATGTAAAAAATATTTTTTAAATAAACAAACTATAGCTATCTGCAATAGCATGAATTAATATCATAAATATAAAGTTGCCTAGAAGAAAGTAGATGTAAAAGTATACATATTATATAATTTCACTTATATAAAATCCAGAAAGTGAACACAACTGAGGTTCTGGTTTCCAGTAATAATGAAGTAGACTAGTTCGTTGAATAACTATTTCACAGATAACAATAATAAAGCTTAATAAAATACTATATTTTGCTATATAGAAAGGCACACTGTTTAGAAGACTGAATGAAGATTTTATCTATGCCACTGTGGAAGAGATAAGGATTGGGGTTTGAATCTATTCAAATTAACTCCCTCTTAAAATAATAATTTTCAAAGAAATACAACAGAATCCAGAGTCCCTGTAGTTCCTATCACACAATTTAAAAATTCATGAGATGTGTGAAGAAGCATGAAAGTGTAATCGATTCACAAGATAAAAAGCAGACAATAGAACCTATTCTCAAGATGTGCAAGATGCTGTAATCAGTAGATAAGATTTGAAAGAAGCTATGGTAAGTACGTTCATGGGGGTAAAAGAAAACAGTCTCATGACAAGTGAACAGAAGCGTAACTGTACATTTCATGCGCGTCCGTGTGAAGAGACCACCAAACAGGCTGTGTGTGAGCAACATGGCTGTTTATTTCACCTGGGTGCACGCGGGCTGCGTCCGAAAAGAGAGTCAGCGAAGGGAGATAAGGGTGGAGCCGTTTTATAGGATTTGGGTAGGTAAAGGAAAATTACAGTCAAAGGGGGTTTGTTCTCTGGCGGGCAGGAGTGGGGGTCGCAAGATGCTCAGTGGGGGTGCTTTTTGAGCCAGGATGAGCCAGGAAAAGGACTCTCACAAGATAATGTCATCAGTTAAGGCAAGGACCGGCCATTTACACTTCTTTTATGGTGGAATGTCATCAGTTAAGGTGGGGCAGGGCATATTCACTTATTTTGTGATTCTTCAGTTACTTCAGGCCATCTGGGCGTATACGTGCAAGTCACGGGGGATGCGATGGCTTGGCTTGGTCTCAGAGGCCTGACATACACTCCCAGTCTTTTGGTCACAGGGCTGTGGGACTGAGGAGGGAAATTAAAGAAAAATAAAATTAAAAAGAAAGAGAAATAAATTTTCTTGTATTGGGCTGACTTGTCCCAGAGGCTTCAACAGGCACAGCCCAGAACCAGGAATAGTCTTGATAATATTATCTAATGTGCTCTGGAGGCTCTCCCAACGCTCCCCCAACATCGGGAAAAGAAAAACAAATTTCCTTTTTTTACGGAATGAGTTTATAGATTCTTGTTCTCTGTAACTAGTGACTTCAAGTATTCTGTTTTATCTAAGAAGTACAATGTAAGTCATGAGAAGCCTGAGTAGGCTGAACTACAGCTGTTTGGGCACCATAGTGAGGGTTATAGGATAAGCCCATGCCCAGGGAAACCTAGAAAATGGACATGTGGGTTGCTTGGCAACGGTCATGTGCAATCCTGTCTGTCCTGCCTCTGTATCCCTGCTTTCACGCCACTGTAAACTTGCTTCAAGCTAGCCCACCACCTTTTGTGAAATGTGCATAAAAGTCAGGTTCTGTCTTTGTTCCGGGCCCAGTCTTTTTGATGTGAGTTAGCTTGTCCTCAGTTTCATGGGGGTCCGTGTGAAGAGACCACCAAACAGGCTTCGTGTAAGCAATAAAAGCTTTTAATCACCTGGGTGCAGGCAGGCTGAGTCCGAAAAGAGAGTCAGCAAACGTAGATAGGGATGGGGCCATTTTATAGGATTTGGGTAGGTAAAGGAAAAAGGGGGATTGTTCTCTGGCGGGCAGGAGTGGGGGGGTCACAAGGTACTCAGTCGGGGAGCTTTTGAGCCAGGATGAGCCAGGAGAAGGAATTTCACAAGACAATGTCATCAGTTAAGGCAGGAACAGGCCATTTTCACTTCTTTTGTGGTGGAATGTCATCAGTTAAAACAAGAACCGGCCATCTGGATGTGTACGTGCAGGTCACAGAAGGTACGATGGCTTAGCTTAGGCTCAGAGGCCTGACACTGAGTGCACTCAATAAAAATTCTCCTGTTTCAACCCGGGGTCTCTCTCATCCTCCTGAATCCCGCAACGGGAGAATTCCAGCATGCACCAGGTTCACGGGACAGTGCGCGGTCACTGAAAGAAGAGTGGGGCGGGGAGGGTGGTGTGCGGCTGTGAGCACCTCTTGTGCTTGCTGGGAGATGTAGTCTTATAAAGACTCCCAGCCCTTTGGTCACAGGGCTGCAGCACCCCAATTCCAGCATACACCGGAATCAGAGACAGTGCGCGCCGGCAGAGGAAGAGGTAGAGCTGTGCGTGACTCGCTGGGCTTGATGGAAAATGTAATCTCATGAACACTCCTTAATGAACAGTGCGCCTCACTGGAGGAAAAGGCGGGGCTGTGCAGGCCTTGCTTTGCTTGCTGAGAGATGCTGTCTCATAAACACTCCCAGCCCTTTGGTCACAGGGCTGCAGGACTACATTCCCATCATGCACCGGGATCAGGGATAGTGCATGTGCCTGGGTGAAGAGACACAGTTTTGCGCGCCTCCTTTGGCTTCCTGGGAGATGTAGTTTCATAAAGACACCCAGACTTTTCATTACAGGGCAGCAGGACTACAATCCCAGTATGCACCAAGATCAAGGATAGTGCGCGTAACTGCAGAATGAGGCGGGATTGTGCACGCCTCGCTGGACTTGGTGGGATATGTATTCTCATAAACATACCCAACCCTTTGGTCATAGGGCGGGAAGACTACAATCCCAGCATGCACCTGGCTAAGAGACAGTGCCTGTCACTGGAGGAAGAGGCGGAAGACTACAATCCCAGCCAGCACCGGGCTCAGGGAAATTGTGCGTCAGTGGAGGAAGAGGCGGGGTTGTGTGCTACTCGCCAGGCTTGCTGGGAGTTGTATTCTCATAAAACCTCCCAGCCCTTTCATCACAGGCCTGAAGGACTACACTTCCAGCCCCAGCATGCACTGGGCTCAGGGACAGCGCGCGTCACTGGAGGAAGAGGGAGGGCTTTGCGCTTCTAGCTGTGATTTTTTGGGAGATGTAGTCTCATTAACGCTCCCAGCCCTTTGGTCACAGAGATCCAGGACTGCAATCCCAACATGCACCCAGCTCAGGGATAGTGCGCTAATCACTGCAGGAAGAGGCAGGGCTGTGTGCACCTCCTGGGCGTACTGGGAGATGTATTCTCATAAACACTCCCATCCCTTTGGTCATAAGGCTGCAGGACTACAATCCTAGCATGCACCCAGCTCAGTGACAGTGCGCTAGTCTAAGGAGAAAGAGGCAGGGCAGTGTGCGCCTTGCTGGGCTTCCTGGGAGATGTAGTCCCATGGCCTCTCCCTGCCCTATGGTCACAGTGCTATAAGACTACAATCCCAGCATGCACGGGGCTCAGGGAGAGTCCACATCACTGCAGAAAGAGGGGCAGGTTGTGCGCACCTCGCTGCGTTTGCTGGGAGATGTTGTTTCATAAAGACTCTCAGACCTTTTGTCACAGGGCTACAGGACTACAATCCCAGGATGCATCGGGATCAAAGCAGTATGCGACACGGGGAAAAGATGCGGAGCTGTGTGCGTCTCCCTAGGTCTTCTGGGAGATGTGGTCTCTTGGCCCTTTGGTCACAGGGCTGCAGGACTACAATGCCAGCATGCAGCGGGTTCATGGACAGTGTGTATCACTGGAGGAAGACGTGGAGCTGTGCGTGCCTCGCTGGGCTTGCAGGGAGATGCAGTCTCATAACTACCCCAGTCGTTTGGTCGCAGGGCTGCAGCAGTACAATTTCAGCATATCTCTGGCTCAGGGAGAGTGCACTAGTCACTGGAGGAAGAGGTAGGTCTGTGCGCACCTCTCTGGGCTTGCTGGGAGAGGTAGTCTCATAAACACTACCAGCCCTTTCATCACATCGCTGTAGGACTACAATTCCAGCATGCACGGGGCGCCGGGGCAGTCCGCCTCACTGGAGGAAGAGAAAGGCGTGTGAGCGCCTTGCTGGGCTTTCTGGGAGATGTTGTCTCTTTATTTCTCCCAGCCCTTTGGTCACAGGGCTTCAGGACTACAATCCCAGCATGCATCCTGCTCAGGGACAACGCGCGTCACTGTAGGAAGAGGTGGACCTGTGCTGTTCTCGCTATGCTTTTTGGGATACGTATTCTCGTAAACACTCCCAGCCCTTTGGTCACTGGGCTGCATCACTACAATCCCAGCATACATCGGGATCAGGGAGAGTGCGCTAATCAGTGGAGAAAGGGGCGAGGCTCTGCACACCTCGCTGGTCTTGCTGGGAGATGCAGTCTCATAAACACTCCCAGCCCTTTGGTCACTGGGCTGCAGCGCTACAATCCTAGCATGGACCGGGCGCAGGGAATGTGCGCGTCACTGGAGGAAGAGGCAGGGTTGTGCACGCCTCTCTGGGCTTGGTGGGAGTTGCAGTCTCATAAACACTCCCAGACCTCTCATCACCGGGCTGCAGGACTACAATCCCAGCATGCACCCGGCTCAGGGAGAGTGCGCATTACTGGAGGAAAAGTCTAGGATGTGGATGCCTCCTTCTGCTTGCTGGGAGATGTAGTTTCATAAAGACTACCAGAACTTGTGTCACAGGGCTGCAGGACTACCATCCCATTATGCACTGGGGTCAGGGACACGGCCCGTCAGTGGAGAAAGAGGCGGGGCTGTGTGCGTCTCCCTCGGCTTGCTGGGAGATGTATTCTTATAAACACTCCCAGCCCTTTGGTCAAAGGGCTACAGGACTACAATCCCAGCATGTGCCAGTCTCGGGGGCGAGGTACAGGCCTGGAAGAAGGGGCCGAGTGGTACACGCCCTACCTAATATGCTGGGAGCTGTAGTCTGTTAACTGCTCTCAGCCTGTTTGTCGGTAGGCTTCAGAACTATAATCACAGCATGTACCGGGACCCGGGGTGCATAGCCCTGGAGGGAGGGGCAGAGCGGTGTGGACTTCCCGGTGTCCAAAGCACTGCTGAGTTCTTATGCTATGCCGACTCTTTGCCAAGGAGAATGAGTACATAGGTGGACCTAGAGGACAGGTCTGCGCTGAGCATTGAGGAGGGTATTACCCTACATAGGCACCTTACCTTTGCCCAAATCGGGCGGGTTGTCCTCAACTGATTGGCCCTATCCTTCTCAAGTTCCTCTTTCAGCTGCACCCAGGGTTCTTCCCAGAGCATTGCGCCTTCTGCAGCCCAGGGCGCTGCCTTCTTTCCTAAACTGCTGTGGAAACTGTCCTGATGTCTGAGACACTGTCCATTGTGCCGCAGCCCTCTTTTTTCTCTAGCCAAGCCTCATGCTCAACAGCTTTTGAGAGAAATCTTCCACGTGGCCTGCTTATGAACAGCTTCAGAATTCTGTAGGGGGTGACAAGGTCTGTGGCTTCCTGGAAATGTCACTGTCAATGGCGCCTTTTTCACGAATGTGAAAGTTGAGGCATCAGGAAGGTTAATTATTGGGTTGCACAAAATCTGCTAAGAGCAAAGGAGAAAACCCCATTTCCGAGGCATGAGTCTTGTGAGCCATTTTCATCAACCCATTTAAGTGGACAAGCTCCAAAATGAAACCTGAAGCTGCTGACTATTTAGGCATTTTACACTTGAAATCATCGGTCTCATCTCAAGTCACTCCTGACTTGCCAGTGTCTCAGAAACACAAATGGGACCGGATCCCTCAGGAGCAGATAGTGTTCCAGCTTTGTTGGAGCGACATTTAAGATGTGGAGCACTTGGGGTCGTTTGAAACCCGCTATCTTCAGTAGGGACTTTTACTTCTAGAGAACATGTGCATTTTGATTTTATCTGTCCTCAAACTGAACTTTTGCTCATTTTAATAGTAAAAACACATTCCTAGGTGGAGACTTAAGATGCTAATGAGACATGCAATGTATGCACAAATATGTACAGTTAGTGCACATGTGCACCCAGAAGACCACTCAAAACATGCTTACACTAACACTTCTTTCCACCTTCTTATGAATAATCGTGCAAAACCCCCAGAAGGAGGGTTTCTCCAGTAACAATTAATGGTGTCTCACTCTTATGAGCAGCCTGCCCTGGAATCTCTTTCTCAGAATGTACCGTCTATTCTGCACTTAATTTTCAAAGTAGTCTTTTCTTTTTTTGTGTGCAATAAATTACTCTATGCTGTACTTCTTTTGCTGTGTGTTTCTTGTTTGAATTCTTTTAAACTAAGAAAATAAGAATCAAGGTATTACATCAGCCATCAACATTTCTTTTGCCATGGCCTGGAGAGAGGTCTGTCCGCTTCACTGATTTCACTTTCCCTTTACTTGCCGTGAATACTGTGGCACTTCCAGACTACCTGGTTAACTATCGCTGGTTCTTCCAGCACTGTTTCACTAAAGTTCTGGGGAAACCCTGTCCCTTTAGGCTTTATGCATTTCCCAGCTCCTTGAAATTGTTCTTCAACAGGCTTTCTTTGCTGAACAAAAGATGCACAGTCATGGATAGGCCCAGTCATAGGGATTGAATCTGAGCATTGCAGGTGTTATAATTGGGCATCATAAATGGCAAACCACTGAATTAGGGAAAGGCTTGTCAGCCAGACATCTGCCCCCCAGCGAGCAGTGGGGGTCATCTCGGCAGGGCTGGAGATGTCCAGCGCTGGTGAGAGCTAGGACGGTGCATGGCAAATGCCTATGACCTCCTAGAGCTTCAGTTAATGGGGTTTCAAGGGGATGAGTTGGACAACTTGGTGGTTCCACTTGGCTCATGGGGCTGCCCACAGCCTCCTGGACTTTAGTACATGTTCTGTCGTTTGCAGGATTCTCTCGGCACCATGGGAATCACTTCCTCTACTGTCACTGAAACACACCTGGGATGTATATTTAAAAATTGAAACAGCTTTTGGCTAAATGAAGCAAAAAAACAATTATCTTCTTTTGTAAAACTATTTAGCCTGCATACAGATTAGCTGACAAAACATGGCTGGAGAATGAGACTGTGAAATTTAACACCATCATACAGCTAGATCTTTTCTGTAGTAATCAGGGAAAATGGTCTGAAGTATCCTATGTGCAAGACTTTCTGGCCCGACAACAAAACCCAGCTCCATGCAGCACCTGTGGGCTAAAGCCTAGTAAGCCACAAAGCCCCTCAGATCCAGTAGAAGATCATTTGTTTTATGGACAAGTGACCCCAGACCCCACAGCCTAATACCAGCTCCAGATAGGGGCCCTCAGAGGCCTACACCTGCTTTAGAATCCCCAGCGTCCCCACACTATCAGAGTCTTCTGTAGAATCTAAGCTTGTTTCACCTCCTCCTTATGCTCCTCTATCAGCCTTTGCCAGTTACAATAGAGACCAGTCCAGCTGCAGTTACTCACAGTGGAGCTTCACACCATGCAGGGCCAGAGAATTTGATCCGCTTACAGAAAGTCTCAAATGGAGAGAGGACCATCAGAGTGCTTCTTCTCTTCCCAGTAAATGATCTAATCCAATGTAAGCAACAGCTCTGATGGCTCTCAGACAACTTCAGCGCGTTTACTGAAGCCTTCCAGTCTCTAACTTTGACCACCATTCAACTTTACCATCCATAAATGGACCCAATGACTGCTGCCAACTCAGCTGCACAAAACTTTTTCTTATTTGCGAAAAATAGAAAAGACTTAAAACTTTTGCTGCTTTCACCATTTTAAAGCAGAATACTTTTGCAGCACAAATGTCACCATAAGGTGGAGCCTTGGGAATCCAGTATAAACTATCTCAGAAAATCTCAGTGTGTCCCCAACAGGCAGCAGAGGGCCTCAATAGACTTCAACAACATCTGGACTCCATGGCCACTGCATTCCAACAAAATCAAAGAGCCTGGGATCTTCTCCCAGCCAAGCAAAGAGGAACATGTTTATATCTAAAAGAAGAATGCTGTTTTTTGAGATCAATCATTCTGGTTTATTCCAAGAAAATATTAATAATATCATCACCCAGGCAGACAAAATTGAATCTCTAGGAACTTCCATGGGAACATGAAAGCAATGTCCATTGCCTGCCTTGCTCTCTTTAATAGTACCCGTCATTATTATATTTTCAACTTCTACTTTTGTTCCAATTTTGTTTAAAATGTTAACTGATTTCCTGCTATGTTGCTTGTGGCAGCTCCATGTTTGCATGATGGTTTGCAAGGCTTTCAATCTTTGGCTGCCAACATCTTCCCACTGGTTCCACGAATGACATGGTTTACACCCTGTTAGATCACACAGGAAGAAACTTTAAGGCCCAGGCTAGGCAGAAGTAACACCCACTCAGCAGGAAACAGCTCCAGAAAAAGTGGTCTAACCCCTCAACCTCCAATATGGTTATTGCCCTAAAATCTCTTAGGGGGAAATTGAGGCAGAATAGATAGTACAGAAAATGACCATGATCTCAGGATACAGAAACCATGGTGACTGTACAGCCAACACAATAAGCCGTAGCATTCGCATTGTAATTGGGCTTATTCGAGCAAAGCTATCCTCATTAAGGACTTTCTGTTCTAGAGAGCATGTGTATTTTGATTTCACCTGCCCTCAAACTTAAATTTTGCTTATTTTAATAGCAAACAATGCACCCCCTAGCCAGGCACGGTGGCTTATACCTCTACTCTCAGCACTTTGGGAGGCTGAGGAAGATGGATCACTTCAAACTAGAAGCTCGAGACTAAACTGGCCAACATAGAGAAACCCCGTCTAAATTAAAAATACAAAAATTAGCAGGGTATGATGGTGCATGCCTGTAATCCCAGATACTCAGGAGGCAGAGGCACGAGCATGGCTTGAACTCAGGAGGCAGAGGTTGCAGTGAGCAGAGATCACACCACTGCACCCCAGCTTGGGCAACACGGCGAGACTCTGTCTCAAACAAACAAACAAACAAACACACAGAAATACACTCCTGGGTGGAAATATAAGATGCTAACGAGACATGCAACATATGAACAAGCATGTACAGCTACTGCGCATATGCACCCAGAATACCACAGAGAACATGTTTACTAGCAACTCCTCTTCCCTCCTCCTTATTAATAATAATGTAAAACTGCCATAAAGGGGTTTCTCCAGCGACAGTCCACGCTGTCTCACTCTTATGAGCAGTCAGCCCTGGAGTATCTCTCTCAGGGTGTACTGTATTCTGCACTTAACTTTCAAATATTTTCTTTTCCAATAAATTATGCTGTACTTTTTTTCTTTGTGTCTCTTGTTTAAATTCTTAAAATCTAGGAAGACAAGAACAGAGGTATCACATCAGTTGTCAACACAGCAATAAGTCAGCCTCCTTCTTGTAAGCATAGCCCATGCAGAAAAGGAGAGTCGCATCACCTCGGTGCTGGATCCAGAGGTATGTCACAATTTATCCCATGCACAAAGTTAAGGTCATTGAGGAGAGTCGTATTAAATAATTTCTGGGCCCAGGGATTTGTCACAACAGCTCCTGTGAGAAGAGATCAGGCAGCATAATCACATAACCGGTGTGCTGGACACAGCGATAAGCCACCTTTCATCTGTGGGCATGACCCAGGCAAGAAAGAAGAGTCACGGCATTTAGGTGCTTGCTGCAGAGGTACGTAACAATCTCTCTTATGGGCAAAGCTCAGGTAAGAGAGAAGAGTCAAATATCCAAGGTGATTCATGTAGAAATTTGTCACAAGAGACTTTTTAGGCAGGGCCCATGTTGGATCTTCTTATCTTCCAGAAGTTAGGTACAGGGATATGTCAGAATACCCAAAATACACAGGGCTCAGTCAATAAAGAAGAGCCACATCACCCAGGTGCTGGGTCTAGACATATGTCACATCTCTTTTATGGGGAAAGCTCAGGTAAAAAAGGAAGGTCATATCAAATAGTTGATAGACCCAGAGATATGTCACATTGCCTCCTGCTTGAAGTGTCTAGGCCAAAGACTCACATCACATTGGTGCTAGGCCTGTGTTCATATATAAACATTCAACCAGAGTTAAAATGGTGGCCCACATCTAAACTCAGCTCATAGGCAAGGGATGAGTCTCCTATCCTGACATAGTTAATTGTAATGATGTTGACTCTCATCCCTGGGCCTAATGCTACAAGTATGATCATGGGTCCCTACCATTAGGAAGGTCTCAAAGTTGATTACGACTCTCATGCATACTGTATAGGGCCATTGGGTAGTACACAGAGCGTGCTAACTGGGCCGAGCACACAGGTGAGATTGTCACACTCATATGCACACCCAGCCAACAGTAACTATTGTCATCCTCTCACGGGAACACAGGTCAGTCTGCAGAGGAATTGAGGCTGTCATGCGCAAATCCAGTCTGGTGTTGAGATGGTTACTCTTGGGCTTAGACCCAACATACAGGAGGTGTTGAATGTCATGCCTACCACTGAGACAGCTGTGGGATTGTTAATCTAATTCCTGGACCATTCTGCAGCTTCCATTGTGAAATTTCCCAGTGCCTAGCACCTAAGTGACTTGACGGGCTCGCATGGACCCAGCCCACAGATGGGATATTAACATATTGCTGGATCCAGCACATTGAGGATGTAACTCTATTCTCCTTCCTTGGCACTGCCCACAGTGAGCAGTTTGACATATCGCTAGACCTTACACCCAGGTGATGTGAGTCTCCTCTTCTGCCTTGGCGCTGCCCTCAGGAAGCGTTGTTATATATAGCTTGGCCTCGCATCCAGGTTATGTGACTCTCCGGCTTGTGCACTGCCCATATGGGACACTGTGTTAATATTGCTGGGTCCACTACTCAGGCTATGTAACCCAACAGCCTGGGCCCTGCCTTACAGGGGCATTGTGACATATCTCTGTGCTCATCAGCCAGGTGATGTGATTCTCTTCTCCTGCCTGGTCCCTTTACACAGAAGGGATTGTGACACGTTGCTGGGCTTAGCACCAAGTTGATGTTGATGTGAATCTTCTGCCTGGATCGAGTTCACAGAAGGCATCGTGACATACTTCTGGGTGCATCACCTATTTGATGCAACTCTCCTCTCTTACCAGAGCATTGCCCATAAGAGAGATTGTGACATATCCCTGGGTCTAGCACTGGGATGATGTGAATTCTCCCTGCCTGGGGCATGCCCACAGAAGGAAGTGTGACTTATAACTGGGCACAGCACAGGGGTGATGTGATTCTTCTGCCTGGTCCCTACCTACAGGAGTCATTGTCAAATGTCTCTGGGCCCATCATCTAGACTATGTGACTCTCTACTTCTTCCTAGGGCCTGCTCACATAAGGATTGTGACATATTACATGCCCTTCATCATGTGACTTTTCTCTCATGTCTGGGCTCTGTCTTGGAGATGAATGTGACACATAGCTAGGCCTAGCCCCTAGGTTCTGTAACTTCTCGTTTTTCAAAATCCTACCCACCAGGGGCATTGAAACATCTCTCTGGGCACTTCACTTAGGTAATGTTGCCCTGTTGCCTGGAGCCTCCCCTCTGGGGGGTATGGTGACATATTGCTGGACACAGTACCTATGTGATATTCTCTCCTTTCTTGCCTGGGCCTTGTATACATTATGTATTCTAATATATGGCTGGGTTCAATGACTAGGTGATGCAACTCTTATGCATAGACCCTACCCACAGGGACATTATGACATTTCTTTAGCTCTGACTCTCCTCTTTTTCCTTAGCCCTGCCAAAAAGGGAGGTGGTGACATATAACTGGACCTAGCAACCAGCTAATATGAGTCTCCTCTTTTGCCTGCACCCAGCATATTTTAGGTGTTGTATCATATCCTTTGTCTCAACACCTGCAGGATGAAAGGCTCCTGCCTGAGCCCAGCCATCTGTCAAAATTGTCATTCTCCCACACGAACATGGACCATAATTGAGGTTCTGAAACTCACACCCAGAGGCAGTCAAAAGTTGGAAAATTGGCTCTTAAAAGTGGATGTTGTCCTTAAGTGGGTTTGTGACTCCCTGACCAAGATCCAAAACACTTGTGAGGCTGTGAATCCACTAAGATAACTCCGTTTTCAAAAGGGATTAAGGCTCTCATGGAAAAAACCCATTCCTCCATTGAGATTGTGACTTATGCACATAGATGCAACATACAGGAGGCGTTCACTCTCATACCCAGAACCGGAACTTATGTGGGATTGTTAATCTCATCCATGGACCTTCCTGCAGGTGTGATTCTGACGTACACCTCTAGCCAGCTCCTGAGTGATTTGACATTTTTGCCTGGGTGTAGCCCACAGATGAGATTGTGATATATCCTTGAATCCAGCATCTAATTAATATGCTTCTATTCTCCTGTCTTGGCACTGCCCATAATGGGTATCCTGACCTAACACTGGTCCTGGCACTTTGTTATGTGACTCTGTCCTGTGCTTTGCCCACATGAGCCATTGTGACATATTGCTGGGTCCAACACCCAGGTGATGTAACTCTTGTCTAGACTTTGCCTACAGGGGGCATTGTGACATATCTCTACACTGACCACCCAGGTGATGGCACTCACTTCTCCTGACTGCTACCTGTTTATAGCAGGGATTGTTACAAATCGTTGCGGGCAGACTCTAGGTAATGTGACTGTCTTTTTACAGAGTGCTACCCACAGGAGCCATTGCAAAATATCTGTGGGCCTCTCACCTAAATGTAGTGACTCTTTGCCTGGGCTCATTTCTCAGGGGTATTGTGACATATGGCTGACCTCAGCACCGAGGTGAACTGAGTTTCTTCTACTGTAGGGCTCTGACCAAAGAGAGATTACAATGTATCACCGGGCCCAGCACCTGAGCTATTTGACTGTCCGCTCTTGGCTGCGCCCTACATTTATTGTGTATTGTGACATATCACTGGGTCCAACACGTAGGTAAGGTGACTCACCTGCATGGGCCATTTCCCCATGGGTACTATGAAGTATTTTTTGTTCATCACTTAGGTGATGCAACTCTCCTCTTTGCCTTGGGCCCCACATAATTTAGCTATTGTGATGTATCACTGTGCGAATCACCTAGTCAATAGGAAGCTTCTACCAAGACCCTGACTACTGAGGGCCTTGTGACATAGCTCTGCATTTATCACCTAGAAAATATGATCCCCCCCCATTTCTGCCTGAACCCTGCTCACAAGAAAAATTGTAGCATATTTCTGGGCCCAGCAAACAGGTGATGTGTTTCACCTGCCTGTGCTTAGTTCACAGGGAAAATTGTGACATATCACTGGGCCCAGAACCCAGGTGAGGTGACTCTGCTGCATGTGTCGTGCTTTCAGGAGGGAACAAGAACATATCCCTGGCAGAACTCTTAGGGATGTGACTCTCTTGCCTTGTCCCTGTCCTCAGGGAAGACTGCAACATGTCCCTGACACAGACCCAGGTGATGAGACTGTCCTGCTTCTGACTACCCAAATGTGAGATTGTCACATATATTTTGGCTTAGCATGTAGGTGTGACGATGACATTCATACCTTAAACCAACCAATAGCAGAGATACTTTCTCTCACAGCCAGGCTTAACAAAACTTGCAAAATTATGGGTCTTCTCTTACTATGAAGGTCAGAGAAAGTAAGCACTCTTGCATATCCTGTAAAGCACTCAGATGGTACAGTGTCATCACAGGGCCCAGAACACAGGTGAGATTGTGTTCTCTGTGTGCACACCCACCAATCATCAGAATTCTCATTCCTACACAGGAACAGAGGTGATTAGGGAGGTCTAAACCTCATACCTGAATGCCGTCCACAGTTGGAATTGTAACTATCATTTGTGAACATCCAGTCACAGTGGGGATAGTGACTTATTTCTGAACCCAGTTTACAGCCAAGTAAAGATCCTCTTATCTGGATCCAGCCAGCTGGAGAGATGTTGACTCTCATACCTGGACTTATGGCCACAGGTATGATCATAGGTTCATATCAGCATGAAGACCTCAGAGTGGATTATGTTTAATGCATACTCTACAAGGCCCACAGGAGGTACATAGTGTCCTAACAGGGCCCAGCAAACAGGTGAGATTCTAACACTCATGCACACTCTGGTGACAATAAAAGTTGCCATCCTCAAAAATGGGCACAACCGGCGTGGCTCAGTGGCTCACACCTGTAATCGCAGCACTTTGGGAAGCCGAGGCGGACAGATCATGAGATCAGGAGATCAAGACCATCCTGGCCAACATGGTGAAACCACGTCTCTCTACTATTTATGATTATGATTATGATTATGATTATGATTATGATTATGATTATTATTTTGAGACAGAGTCTTGCTCTGTCACCCAGACTGGAGTGCAGTGGCACCATCTAGGCTTACTGCAACATCCGCCTCCCGGGTTCAAACAATTCTCTTGTTTCAGCTTCCCGAGTAGCAGGGAGTACAGGCTCATGCCACCATTCCCAGCTAATTTTTGTGTTTTTAGTGGAGACGGGGTTTCACCATATTGATTAGGCTGGTCTCAAACTCCTGACCTCAGGTGATCCACCCAACTCGACCTCCCAAAGTGCTGGGATTACAGGCATGGGACACTGTGCCTGTCCACCCCATCTCTACTAAAAATACAAAAATTAGCTGAGCGTCATGGCACATACCTGCAATCCCAGCTACTCGGGAAGCTGAGGCAAGAGAGTTGCTTGAACCCAGGAGGCAGAGGTTTCAGAGAGCCGAGATCGCCCCACTGCACTCCAGCCTGGCGATAGAGTGAGACTCCGTCTCAAGGGACCGAAAGAAGAAAGAAAGAAAGAAAGAAAGAAAGAAAGAAAGAAAGAAAGAAAGAAAGAAAGAAAGAAAGAGAGAGAGAAAGAAAGAAAGAAAGGAAGGAAGGAAGGAAGGAAGGAAGGAAGGAAGGAAAAGAAAGAAAGAAAGAAAGAGAAAGAAAGAAAGGAAAAGAAAGAATGAAAGAAGAAAGAAAGAGAAAGAAGGAAGGAAGGAAGAAAGAAAGAAAAAGAAAGAAAGAAAGAAGAAAGAAAGAAAAAAGAAAGAAAGAAAGAAAGAAAGAAAGAAAGAAAGAAAGAAAGAAAGAAAGAAAGAAAGAGAAAATTGACTCTCATATATGGATCTTGTCCACAGGTAGGTGGGTGACTCTCAAACCAAAATTCATTACATCTGTGAGACTGTAACTCTCCTAAGGGGAGAAGTTCTTCTCAGCCAGAGAAGACTCATTTATGAATCCAGTTCACTGTTGAGATTGGGACTGTTGTACCTAGGCCAAACATACAAATTCTCATACCTGGAATCCGGACATGTGTGGAGTTGTTCATCTCATCCCTGTCGCTTTCTGCAGGTGGGATTGTGACATACATCTCTGCCCAGCTCCTGAGTGTTTTAGCTCTGTTTCCTGTGTCCAGCTCACAGATGGGATTCTGATATATCACTGAAGCCAGCACCTAAATGATGTGACTCTTATCTCCTGCCTTGGTGCTGCCCACAGGGGACATTGGGACATATCACTTGGCCTTGCACCTAGGTAATGTATGTTTTCTGCCTTGCATTAGTGCTACTCACAGGGGTGTTGTGATGTATTGCTGGGTCCCACATCCATGTTATGTGACTCTTCTGCCTGTGCCCAGTCCACAATGGCCATTTTGACATATTGTTGCATCCAAAACCTAGATGATTTACCTCTCCTTCCTGAGCTTTGCCTAAGGGGACATTGTGAAATATCTATGAGCCCATCACCCATGTGGCGTGATTTTCTTCTCCTGCCTAGTCCCTGCTTAAAGAAAGGATTGTGACATATCACTGTGCCCAGCACCTATCTCATGTTACTCTTCTTTTGTTTTTTAGGATTTGTTTGGAAGGAGATTGTGATACATTGGTGGGTCCAACTTCTCAGTGACATTACTCTGTTGACTGTGCTCTGCAAGCAGAAAGCACTGTGACACATTATTGGGCCCAACACCAAGGTGAGTCTCCTGCCTGAAGCCTGCCTACAGCAATTTGTAACATATGGCATTGGGACATATCTCTGAGCCCATCAACTATTTGACAAGATTCTCCTTTTTTAACAAAGGCTTTGCCCATAGGAGAGATTGTGACATAATTCTGAGCCCTGAAAATAGGGGATATTTCTTTTGTTTTCTGCTTGAGCCCCACATTGTGATGTATTTCTCCTCCCAACAACTGAGGGAAGGGAAAGTCCTGCCTGGGTCTTGCCTATGGGGAGCCTTGTGAAATCTTTCCGTGTTCATCACCTTAAATATGTGACCCTCATCTTCTGCCATGGCCATGTTTACAGAAGGGAGAGTGGGTTATTCCTAGACCCAGCACACAGGTCATGTGATTCTGCATCCTGGTGTCTCCAGAGGGGTCATTTTGACATATCTCTAGACTCATCAACTAGATAATGTAATGCTCCTCTTCCCCCTGAAACCTATCCATAGTGGAGATTGTGAAATACAGCCTGGCACAGCACCTACATGATGGTACTCTCTTCTCATGCTTGGGTGCTGGCCACAGGGGTGATTAAGACTTATAGCTGGGTACAGTCTTCAGGTGATGTAACTCTCCTCTATTTTTGGGCCCACACACACAGGGAACTACCATATAGCTCTGCTCCTCAGTCTTAGGTGATGTGACTCTGCTGTCTGTTACCTCCTCTTAGGGGGAATTGTGATATATTGCTGGGCCCAGAACCGAGGTGATGTGGCCTTTTCTCTTGCCTGGGCCCTGCATACATGGTGTACAGTAACATATATCTGGGTTGAACACATAGGTGATGTGACTCTTCTGCATAGGTCTTGCCAACAGGGGTATTATGACATACTCTTCTATTCATTGCCTAGGCGATGTGACTCTCCACTCTTACCTGGGCCCTTCCAAAAGAGGGGATTGTGACATATCACTGACCCTAACACCAAGGTAATGTGACTGTTCTCTTTTGCCTGGGTTTGCATATTTTGGGTATTGTGACATATCCCTGGGCCCAACACTTAGGGAATAAGAGGTTTATTCCTCTACCTTACGTGCAGTGAAGCTTGTGACATATTTCTGCATTCATCACCAAGAAGATGTGACTCTTCTGCCTGCATCCTGACCACAGAGAGGATTGTGAAATATTGCTAGATCCAGCATGCAGGTGATGTGTCTCTGCTGCCTCGTTCCTAATGTGAGGAGTGGATTGCAACATACCAATGCCTGAACATTCAGGTAATGTGACTGTTGACTGGTCCCTGTCCTCAGGGAAGCGACATATCACTGACCCAGCATCCAACTGATTTTACTCTCCTGCTCTCTTCCTATATGCAGGTGTAATTGTTACATATATCTTGGAACACAACACACAGGTGCAATGATGACATTCATATGTCAAACCAGCCAATAGAAGAGATACTGCTTCTCCTAGCTACACTTAGGGAAATGAAAAAAAACCCTGGGTCTCCTCGCTAAGATCATCCACTCTCTCATATATTACAGAAAGTCCTCAGGTGGTAGAGAGTCTTATCACAGGGCCCAGCACACAGGTGAAATTTGTTACTCCTATGCGCACCCTGAACCCTCCTGACCATTATGATTTTCACCCTCACATATAAACAGAACCCACTGGTGAGGTCCTGAATTTCACACATGAATGCAGTTTATAGTTGGAATTGCGAATCTCATATGTAAAGATCTGGCCAGAGTTGGAATGGGAACTTCGTTATAAACCCAGCGCATAGAAAGCTGATGACTCTCTTATCTGGACCCCGCCAATTGTAAAGATGTTGACTCATATATAGGCTTAGGGCCACAGGTTTGATCATGGGTCCATACCAGCATGAAAATCTCTGAAAGAATTGAGACTGTCATGCATACAACATAAAGCCGTCAGGTGCAACACAGAAAGTCCTAATAGGGCTCAGCACACAGTAATATAATGACATTGGGATGCACACCCAGCCAACATTAAAGATTGTCGTTCTTTCACATGATCATAGTTCACTTTTGAGGCTCTGAATCCCATACCCAAAGGCAGATTGAAAAGTTGAAAAATTGACTCTCATATTTGAGAGTCACAGATGTGTTGATGACTCTCAGATCATGAGTCAGCACACCTAGGAAGCTGTGATTTCAATTAGGGGACAAAGTACGCAAGAGAAAATGGGGCTGCCATGCACAAATTTAGTCCACTATTGAGATAGTGACTTGTGTACTTAGATCAAACATACAGAAGGTGTTCACTCTCATGCATAAAACCAGAATATGTGCGGGATTCATCCCATATCTGGACTTTCCTGCAGGTGTCATTGTGACAAGCATACACATTTGTCCAGCACCTGAGTGATTAGACTCTTCTGTTTAAGCCCAGCTCACAAATAAAATTGGGACATATCATTGGACCTAGAACATAGGTGATGTGGCTCTATTCTCTTGACTTCGTGCTGCCCACAGGGAGCATTGTAACGTATCACTGAACTTAACACCTAGGAGATTAGAGGCTCCTGCCTGAACTCTGTCCACAGTGAGCCTTGTAGCATATTTCTGCTTCCAACACCAGATGATGTGACTCTCCTTTCTGCCTGCACCTTGCCCACAGGAAAGATTCTGACATATCACTGGGCCCAGTAATCAGTAATCAGGTGATGTTTCTCTCCTGCTATGGCCTTGCCCACAGGGAGTGTGGTGACATATCACTGAGCTCAATATTCAGGTGATTTGACTCTGCTGCTTGTACTCTGATTTCAGGAGGGGATTGTAACATATCCCCTGTGAGCACACAAGTGATGGGACTCCCCTCCTAGCCTCTGACCTCAGAAAACATTGTTACATATCCCTGGCCCAGCCTTAGGTATGTGACTCTCCTACCTGTTCCCTGCCATCAGGGAAGATATTGACAGATCTCAGGCCAAGCATCCCGGTGACGTGACTCTCCTGCTCACTCCCTTCCCACAGAAGAGATTGAAACATATATCTTGGCCAGCTCACAGGTGTAATAATGACTCTCATACCTCAAACCTGCCACTAAGAGAAATACTGTTTTTCATAGGGAGGCTTTGGAAAACCGGTAGGTCTTAACTCTTCGTTTTGTATGAAGGTCTTAGAGGAATACAACTCTCTCATATTATATAAAGCTCTTAAATGGTACAAAGAGTGTTATCACAGGGATATGTTGCATAACCTATGGGAGGGGCCCAGTTATATGTCACAATTAACCCAGGGGGCAGGGCACAGGCATGAAAAGAGAGTCACACCACATATGTGCTGGCCTAAGTGATACATCATCATCCCCACTGTGGACAGGTCGCAGTAAGAACAGGAGAGTCACATCATTCTAATAATGGTCTCAGAGATACATCACAATGACTCCCCTGGGCAGAAACAAGGGATAAGGTTCACATCACCTGTGGGCTAGGCCCAGAGATGTCACTCTTACTTCTGTGGGCATGTCTCAGGCTGGAGAGGAGAATCACATTACCTAAGCACTGGACCAAGAAATACTTCACAATCTTTCTCATGGCGAAAGCCCAGGTAAGAGAATAGAGCCATATCAAATAGTTCATGGGCTCAGAGATATGTCACAATGCTCCCTGTGGGCAGGGTTCAGGTAGGACAATCACATTACCTTGGTGCTTGTTCAGCAATATATCCCAAAGCCTTCTGAGGGCAGAGCCAAGATAAAAGAGTAAAATCATTTTGGTGTTTTACAAATCGATATGTCACAATCTCCCCCGAGGGCAGAACCTGAAAAAAGGGAAGAGTCACATTAGCTAAATGCTGCGCCGGGTGATAAGTCACAATTCACCCTGTAGGCAGAGACTAGACAGAAGATAGAGTCACATCATCTAGTGGCTGGTGCAGAGATATGCCACCATGCCCTCTCTAGGCAGAGTTCAGACAGGAGAGTTATGTCACCTGTGTTTTGGACCCAGAAATATGTCACAAAAGCCCATGGACAGAGCACAGGAAAGACAGGCACATAACCTGAATATCAGCTTCAGTGGTATGACCCAATGCCTCCTGTGAGCGTTCCAAGGCAGGAGAGGAGACTCACATTACCTGTGTGCAAGGCCCAGTGATACGTCACACGGAGGAGTACCACTGTCTTGCATATTGTGTAAACTATGGTAGAGAAATTGTCACCACAGGGCTCGCCACACTGGTGAGATTATACTTCTCAGATGCACACCACACCAATATTCAGGATGGTCTCTATCACACGTGGAGAGAGCCCACTCTTGAGGTCCTGAATTACACATGCAGACACAGTCCACAACTGGGATTGTGACTTTCATATGTGAACATCCAGCCACAGGTGGGATGGTGACTCATTTTTAAACGCAGCTCATAGGCAGTTAAGAACTCTTATTTGGACCCATCCAAGTAGAAAGATGTTGACTGTCATACCAGGGCTTAAAGCTAAAGGTACAAGGAGGGGTCCGTGCCTGCTTAAGGTTTCAGAGAGAATTGTTACACTCATGCATACTCTATAAAGGCTGCATATGGTGAAGAGAGTGTCCTGACAGGGCCCAGAACAAAAGTAGATTGTGACACTCATATCTACGCTGAGCCAAGAGTAAAAATTGTCATCTTTTCACATGAACACAGCCCATTGTTGAGGTTCCAAATCTCACACCTGGAGGCGGTTGAGAGATGAATAATTGACTCTCATAAGTGGATGCGATCCATGTTTGAGTCAGTGACTCTAAAACCAACATTCAGCAAACACGTGAGGCTGTGACTCCATTAAGGGGCCACGGTCCTCGGGAAAGACTGAAGCTGCCATGCACAGATCCAGTGCACCATTGAGACTGTGACTTCTACACTTAGACCCAACAAACACAATGTGTTTGCTCTCACACCTAGATATGGGACATGTGCAGGATTGTCAGTCTCAGCCCTGGACTTTCCTGGAGGTATAACTGTGAAATATATCTCGGCCCAGCTCGTGAGTGACTTGACTCTTCTGCGTAGCCCAGCCCATGATAAAATTGTGACATTATTGAACCCAGCACCTATGACCCCCCTCTTCTGCCTGGGTCCTGTCAAAAAGAGAGATTGTAACAAATCACTGGGACAAGCACCCACATGATGTGACTCTCCTCTTTTCCCTGGGCCCTGCATATTTTGTATATTGTGACATACTGCTGGGCATAATACCTAGGGAATTGATGGCTACTGCCTGAGCCCTGTTCACAGGGGGCCTTGGGACATCTCTCTGCATTCACCACCTAAAAAAAGTGTGTGCACCCTGCCTACAAAGAAGATTGTAGCAGATCACTTGTCTTAGCAACCAAGTGATGCGAGTCTCCTGTCCTGCCTTGGTGCTGCTCACAGGGGACATTATAACATATACTTGGTGCTGCACCCATGTTTTGTAATTTTTCTGCCAGGGGTCTACCATATAAGCTATATTGCTGGGTCCAACACCCAGGTTATGCAGCTCTCCTTTCTGTGCTCTGCCTACAGGGGACATTGTGACTTATCTCTGCACCCATCACTCAGGTGATGTGACTTGCTTCTGCTGACTGATTCCTGTTCAAGTGGAGATTGTGACATATCAATGGTGGCACCATCTAGCTGATGTAACTATTCTCTTCTGCCTAGGTTCTTCCTGCAGTGGAAATTGTGATGTATCACTGGGCTTAACACCAAAGTGACATTAATTTTTTGCCTTGGTTCTTCCCTCAGAAGACATTGTAATATATTGCTGGGCTCAGCACCAAAACGATGTGGATTTCCTGTCTGGACCCTGCATACAGGAGTCCCTGTGACATATCTCTTGACTCATCAACTATTTGATGTGACTCTCCTCTGTTCCCTGAGCTTTGCCTATAGGAAAGCGTCAGCCTGGACTCCAGAGTCAGCCACCCACCCCTGCACAGACAAGGAGAGGTCTCATTAAGCTTCAGCACAGTCTGGGACCATAGCTTTTTTTGTAACGATTTGTTCGGCATGAGGCCCACTCACAAGGGCCCTTCGTGACTGGACTCAAGGAAAACGAAAAGGCCTACTTGTTTTTGCGATTTTCTGTTGTTTTTCAATAACTATTTCTCAGAAACAGTGCTGGATGAATTCCACAAGGGGTTCACACAACCTGTTCCAGGACTTAGTGACCATTGTTTCTGTCCATGTTCATTGAGTTCAAATTTAATATTTAACTTTTCCTCCTCATTCAGCCTCAATTTGACACTGAATCATAGGAAAATATTTTTACAGTTATACGGGGAAGTCACAACTGGTATAGATTACAGATAGAGCAGAGGAGAATTAAAAGCACAATTAATAGAAACCACACCCACCACGGCCAACGCCAATGCTAGTTTGACAGCCAGTCCATGATGGGGTCCTGATGGTTAGATTCTAACTGTTTTACTTGTCCTTGCATGTCTTCGGCAAGGAGAGTAATACTGCGAGAACTGTCAGGGATACACACAACATTCAGAATGCAGCAAGACTCAAACCCCTCCTTGGGCTGCGGTAAACATACCTAATGCCATTCGATTTTGCAACACAACAGTACACAGCTGAACAAGTTCTTCTGATAACAACAGAAGTCCAGTGCTACTATCTTAGGAGCTTTTACTATATGTGGACTTAATATTTTAATTTGTTGCTGAAGCAGGATTGTACGAGGGGCAAGGGAGAATACTGTGATAGTTTTCCACCACCAGGGAGTCTGGCACGTTCATAACCAGCTACCTTTGTAAGCATCTAGATTATTGGGGAAGGGAATATTATCCCGGATGGTGAATGGAATTAATGGCACCCCCAAGTGAATCTCCCCATCCAATAAGGGGGCAGATAGGCCACCCATAGGGTCTGCATACCCAGAGGGCCCCCCAGGGGACAGCAATGGTTATACTACAATTATAGTGTATTAAGATGTTATTAAAGTAGCAAAGGAAGTCCAGGTTGGATTGCAAGTGTTGTTGTTTTGGCCCCATTTGTAGTGACAGAGCCATTCAGAAATATTGGCAAGGACAACTCTGCAAGGCAGTCCATTTCCTGTGGCCTCTGGCAATTTGATGCATAGCCAGCATTGACTGCGGTTAGCTTCTGTCGCAGTGGTTGCTGCCCAGTTGATGAATTCACTCTCCACCTCAGACCTGATGACCCAGGTACTGATTACTAGTAGACAGGTTATTCTCTGTAACAACAAAACTGAAGGGGAACATAATATTGTTTTTCATTTTTAGGAAACTGTACTACCCTTTTATTTTCTGCTCCCATACCTACAAGGTCACAGCCTTAGGGGCGGGATCTGATGGAGGCTGTATCCATATTTTCGTTCCAGGATTTAAGCTACCTATACCAGTGGATCTTAATTTCCCAGTTCTGTACGTAGCCTCTGTTGGGGCAGAGATTTCCTCAGGGGTTAATTGTTAACAAGGTACCAGGTACCACTGACAATTGAGCAACCCGAATCTGCGGTCTTGTAACAAAAGAATGTGGAGTGGTATTGTGTAAAGTGAACTTTAACTGTTCCTGGTAATCATTATCAATTATACCACCATACATTATAATGTGTCTCATCGCCAGGCTTGAATGTGTTGTAATCCATTCACCCACATTCAAGTTTGCATTTATGCTGGAAATTTTGGCCTGTTGATCTACCTGCTGTTTAGTCTGTCAAGAGAATGCAGAGATGCATGAGAATCAATATGAAAAACAGCAATAATAGTAATGTGCATCAGGATTCAGGTATCTTCCTAGTATTGTTTTCTCCAAACCTCTTTATTCATTATTCACTATTTGTTTCATTGCCATTCGGGCAACTAGGTAGTAAGACCATTTTCTGCTGACCAACAGTCGGTATACAAGCAACAAATTGCTCTGGCCTCCTCCTGAATAGTTCGGAGGATGGCTTCTAGTTCAGCCAGCTGGCTGCTCACACCCCTCCCTTCATCAGAAACGCTTATGTTTTTAACAGGATTATAAGCCACGGCCTCCCAGCATCAGGTCCCATCAATGTATTTGGTGGAACTATCAGTAACCAAGCGTGTTTCTGATCCTCTGGGCTTAGTTCTTTAAAGGATTTGCCCCATTGGGCAGGGGAGGTTTCCTTCCCTATATGCAGGACTTGCCCTGTGGTTTCCTGAGTTGGCAAGTTTTGCACATCTTCAAGTAAAAATGATACCGCTTTTAGTTCTGGCTTATCCTGGTCTTGTATGTACCATTTCCATTTTATGATACTACATTCTTGAGTGTACCCTATCCAATGGGTTTTGAGGGAGCTCATGACCCAAGTCATAATAGGAATTTGGGGCCTCATAAAAACATCATGATTAAAACAAAGGTGTTCTGCTTCCTTCAAGCGCAGTAGAAGGCCAACAGCTGCTTCTCAAAGAGTATAAGCTTTGCCAGCCTCTGGCAGCTTCTGGGTCTAAAACTCCAAAGGTATCTTCTTCCCATCTTGTTTCTACCTAAGGCTCCAATTAGCATGTTGATGTAGGACAGTTACTTGCAGTTCTGTTGACTCATCCTATAAGGGCCATAGATCCAGGGCCAGTTGCTCAGCTTGTTTTGCTTGTTGAAAAGCCAGGCTGTCTTTCTCTCTCCAGTGATATTCATAGTGTTTTCTAGTGACTGCATGCAGAGGTTGTAATATGTTACCCAAGTGGGGAATATGATGTCTCCAGAATCCAAACAAGCCAATACAATTTTGGACCTCCTTTTCAGTGGTAGGGCTGCAAATTCTAGTATTTTAGCGTTAGCCTTTGGTAAAATGGACTGTTTCCCTGCAGTCCATAGGATGCCAAGGAACTTTACACTTTGTGCAGGCCATTGAATTTTATTAGAGTTAACTTCCCATCCTTGAGATAGGATTTGGGTTTTTACCCTCTTCTGCCCTGAAAACTGACTAGTTATTCAGTTTTACCCTGACTGGGCAACTCGGACAGCTGCTTTTTCAGCAATAGGCTGATAGCTTTGAGCCTGATCAGTCAAGACAGGCCTGGCATGGTACCAGGGTCAGTCTGGAAGTCAGATTAAAATTTTCCTTTTCCAGCTTACATTTCTCTTGTAACAACCAGTCCCTACATTGACACTTTAACTTATAAGAAGTAAGCAAGCATCATCAATGCTGGGAAATTCCCTCAGCATTACAATTACCAACTGGGACTCCCTGCTGCACCTCACGCACAGCCAGTGATTCAAACAAACTTTATCCCACTTAAATGGCAATGCAGATATAATAAGCAAATATATAAGCAAGTTGCAATGGGACGGGGAGAAGGGAAAAGATATATATATATATTTAAACTCACCAAACTATGGAGGATTCACCACAAGACTGTGAAGCAACAGCCTGGGCTCCAGATTGGCCACTCATCCGTCCACAGACAACGTGAGATCTCATGAAGCTTTGGCGCAGTCTGGAACCCCAGCTCTTTTTGTAATGAGTTATTTGGCATGAAGTCCGGTCAGGAAGGCTATTCACAACGGGGCTCAAGGAACACAAAAAGGTCAACTTGTTTTTTTGATTGTCTATTGTTTTTCAATAACTAAGATATAGGAATAAATTGAAATAGAGATTTATCTGAAACAGCGCTGGATGAGGGCTTCAAGGGGCTCACACAACCTGTTCCGGGACTTGGTGACCATTGTTTGAGTCCATGTCCAATTTAGTTCAAATTTAATATTTACCTTTTACTCCAAAAAGT
Organism: Homo sapiens; assembly: GCF_000001405.40. Classification (NCBI taxonomy): domain Eukaryota; kingdom Metazoa; phylum Chordata; class Mammalia; order Primates; family Hominidae; genus Homo; species Homo sapiens. Next base: position 7,636,356 of record NC_000021.9, on the reverse strand, counting down.
GTCAAAAGTAATTCCTTCAAATGCAGGAAATTATGTAGCTACTCACAAACTAAACTTCTCAAACAAAAGTCATAAATAGAGTACAGAGATAAAAAATAAAATAAAATCTAACTACATCTGTCTACAGGGGATTCAATTTATTTATTTATTTATTTATTTTAGAGACATGGTATTGCTTTGTTTCCCAGGCTGGTCTCAAACTTCTGGGCTCAAGTTAACCTCCCACCTCAATCTCCTAAAATGCTCGGATGACAGATATGAGCCATCTTACTATATAGTAACAAAAACAGACTAAAAGTGGCAAGATGCATCAAAACAATTTTATGCAAATCGTAATGAAATGAAGACAACGTCACGAGCACATTATGCAAAATACTTTTTAAATAACTGTCTTAGTTTATAAAATAAATTATAAGTTAAAACTGTCAAAGAAAACAAAGGACAAAATAATAAAAAAGTTTATTCACTGGAAACCTAGGAAAATTATATACATTTATATAATATACATTTATATAATTGTGTGTATTTATCTAATTATGTATACAGACACACATATATATGAACCTCACATGAAGATTTTAAAATAAATCAATAATATTTTGTCAGAACATAAACAAAAAACTGCAATATACTGAGAACAATATTTTAATACACCAGTTCTGTAATTAATAATAAAGCCAGAGAGAATGTTAAGAAGAAAACAGAGGACATGAAAATACTGTAAAACAGTTAGATGTAACAGATGCATAGAGATCACTCTACACAACAACAAAACTCACAGTCTTGTCAAAAGCTCATAAAACATTGTCCTAAAAATAAATATAAGGAAAAAAATTTTTTAACAGAATTAAAAAAAATTGAATGTTACAGAAAACACTTCAAAAAATCAATCAACCCAGGAGCCGGTTTTTTGAAAAGATTAACAAAATAGATAGACCACTAGTAAGACAAATAAAGGAGAAAAGAGAGAAGAATCAAAGAGACGCAATAAAAAACGACAAAGGGGATATCACCACGAAACCCACAGAAATACAAACTACCATCAGAGAATACTATAAACACCTCTACGGAAATAAAGTGGAAAACCTAGAAGAAATTGATAAATTCCTGGAAACATCCACACCTCCAAGACTAAACGAGGAAGAAGTTGAATCTCTGAGTAGACCAATAGCAGGTTCTGAAATTGAGGCAATAATTAATAGCTTATGAACCAAAAAAAGTCCATGACCAGACGAATTCACAACGGAATTCTACCAGAGGTACAAAGAGGAGCTGCTACCATCCCTTCTGAAACTATTCGAATCAAGAGAAAAAGAGGGAATCTTCCTTAACTCATTTTATGAGGTCAGCATCATCCTGATACCAAAGCCTGGCAGAAGCACAACAAAAAAACAATATCCCTGATGAACATCAATGCAAACATCCTCAATAAAATGCTGACAAACCAAATCCAGCAGCACATCCAAAAGCTTACCCACCACGATCAATTCAGCTTCATCCCTGGGATGCAAGCCTGGTTCAACATATGCAAATCAATAAACATAATTCATCACATAAACAGAACCAATGACAAAAATCTCATGACTATCTCAATAGATGCAGAAAAGGCCTTCAACAAAACTCAACAGCCTTTCATGATAAAAACTCTAAATAAACTAGGTATTGATGGAACACATCTGAAAATAATAAGAGCTATTTATGACAAACCCACAGCCAATATCATGCAGAATGGGCAAAACCTGGAAGCATTCCCTTTGAAAACCAGCACAAGACAACGATGCCCTCTCTCACCACTCCCACTCAACATAGTATTGGAAGTTCTGGCCAGGGCCATCAGGCAAGAGAAAGAAATAAAGGACATTCGATTAGGAAAAAGAGGAAGCCAAATTGTCTCTGTTTGCAGATGACATGATTGTATATTTAGAAAACCCCATTGTCTCAGCCCAAAATCTCCTTAAATCTGATAAGCAACTTCAGCAAAGTCTCAGGATACAAAATAATGTGCAAAAATCACAAGTATTTCCATACACCAATAACAGATGAACAGAGAGCCAAATTATGAGTGAACTCCCACTCAACAATTGCTACAAAGAGAATAAAATACCTAGGAATCCAACTTACAAGGGATGTGAAGGACATTTTCAAGGAGAACTACAAACCACTGCTCCATGAAATAAAAGCGGACACAAACAAATGGAAGAACATTCCATGCTCCTGGAAAGGAAGAATCAATATCATGAAAATGACCATGCTGCCCAAGATAACTTACAGATTCAATGCTATCCCCATCAAGCTACCACTGACTTTCTTCACAGAATTGGAAAAAACTACTTTGAAGTTCACATGGAACCAAAAAACAGCCTGCATAGGCAAGAAAATCCTACACAAAAAGAGAAAAGCTGCAGGTATCACACTACCTGACTTCAATCTATACTACAGGTCTACAGTAACAAAAACAGCATGGTACTGGTACCAAAACAGATATATAGAGCAATGGAAAAAAACAGAGGCCTCAGAAATACCATCACACATCTACAACCATTGGATCTTCGACAAATGTGACAAAAACAAACAATGGGGAAAGGATTTCTTATTTAATAAATGTTGCTGGGAAAAATGGCGAGCCATATGCAGAAAACTGAAACTGGATTTCTTCCTTACACCCTATACATAAATTGACTCAAGATGGATTAAAGACTTAAATGTAAGACCCAAAACCATAAAAACCTAAGAGAAAACCTGGGCAATACCATTCAGGACATAGGCATGGGCAAAGACTTCATGACTAAAACACCAAAAACAATGGCAACAAAAGCCAAAATAGACAAATGAAATCTAATTAAACTTAAAAGCTTCTACACAGCAAACGAAACTATCATTAGAGTGAACAGGCAACCTACAGAATGGGAGAAAATTTTTGCAATCTACCCATCTGACAAAGGACTCACATCCAGAATCTACAAAGAATTTAAACAAATTTACAAGAAAAAAACGAGCAATCCCATCAAAAAGTGGGCAAAGGATATGAACAGACACTTCTCAAAAGAAGACATTTATGTAACCAACAGACATGAAAAATTGCTCATCATCACTGGTCATCAGAGAAATGCAAATGAAAACCACAATGAGATACCATCTTACGCTAGTTAGAATGGGGATCATTAAAATGTCAGGAAACAACAGATGCTGGAGAGGACGTGGAAAAACAAAAACGCTTTTACACTGTGGGTTGGAGTGTAAATTAGTTCAAACACTGTGGAAGACAGTGTGGTAATTCCTCAAGTATCTACAACCAGAAATACCATTTGACCCAGCAATCCCATTACTGGGTATATATCCAAAGGATTATGAATCATGCTACTATAAAAACACATGCACACGTATGTTTATTGTGGCACTGTTCAGAATAGCAAAGTCTTGGAACCAACCCAAATGTCCATCAATGATAGACTGGATTAAGAAATTGTGACACATATACCCCATGGAATACTACGCAGCCTTAAAAAAGGATGAGTTCATGTCATTTGCAGGGACATGGATGAAGCTGGAAACCATCATTCTCAGCAAACTATCACAAGGACAGAAAAACAAACACTGCATGTTTTCACTCATAGGTAGGAGTTAAACAATGAGAACATGTGGACACAGGACAGGGAACATCAAACGCTAGTGCCTGTTTGGGGGTGGGGGGCTATGAAAGGGATAGCATTAGGAGAACACTTAATGTAAATGTTGAGTTGATGGGTGCAGCAAACCAACATAACACATGTATACCTGTATAACAAACCTGTACGTTCTGCACATGTATCCTAGAACTTAAAGTATAATAAAAACTGAAGGCTACAGACTATAATTTCTGACCAAAATGGATTAAAACTAGAAATCAATAACCGAAGAAAATTCATAAAATTCACAAATACATGATAATTAAACAATTTATTCTTCAACATGTTTTTGTTCAAGAGTTAAAAATTTAATATTTTGAACGTGTCTATAATGCCCAAAGTGAGCTGCAGATTTAATACAATCCCTATGAAATTCTTAATATTATTTTTGACAGAAACAGAGAATGTGACTCCCCAAAGTATACGGAATTTCAGGGGACCACATAAAAAAAGTTGGAAGCATTACAATTCCTGATTTCAAGACATGTTAGAAATCTACAGTAATCAAAATCTTATGTTACTAGCATAAAGACAGACAATTAGACTAATAAAAAAATCTTTGCCACTGCTGCAGACAGTGCCTGCATCATCCTGCAGACTGACAATGATCATTTTGCTGCTGATGACTTTAAAGTGTGAGACAGACCTGGCCATGTGCCAGTTTGTGGAGTGCGACATTACTGATAACACCAGTGTCAGTCAGCCTCTGCTGGAGACAGAGATGGAGGCCCTCAAGGAAGAGCTGCTCTTCATGAAGAATCATGAGGAGGAAGTTAAAGGTCTATAATACCTGATTTCCAGCTCTTGGTTGACCATGGAGGTAGATGTCCCCAAGTCTCAGGACCTTGGCAAGATCATGACAGGCATCTGGGCCCAATATGACGAGATGGCTGAGAACAGCTGAGAGGAGCTGGACAAGTACTGGTCCCAGCAGACTGAGGAGAGCACCAGAGTAGTCACCATGCAGTCCGCTGAGATCGGAGCTGCTGAGAGGATGCTCAGGGGGTTGAGATGTACAGTCCAGTCCTTGGATATCGAACTGGACTCAATGAGATATCTGAAAGTCAGCTTGGAGAACAGCCTAAGGGAGGTAGACGCAGATGGAGCAGCTCAACAGGATCCTGCTGCACCTGGAGTCAGAGCTATCCCAAAACCGGGAAGAGAGGTACCACGCCCAAGAGCACGAGGACCTGTGGAACATCAAGGTCGAGCTGGAGGCTGAGATTGCCACTTACTGCCGCCTGCTAGAAGACGGGGAGGATTTCAATCTCCTGGATGCTCTGGACAGCAGTAAATACCTGCAAGCTATCCAAAAGAACAGCCCCCGCAGGATAGTGGACGGGAAAGTGGTGTCTGAGACCAACAATACAGACTTTTTGTTGTGCTAAGCCATCAGAAGCAAGGTCCCTTTGGGGAGCAGGAGGCCAGTAAAAAGTTCAGAGGTAAAAAAAAATTAACTTCAAATCACAGAAGTGTTTCCTTCAACACAAAAGTAATATAGATTCATTAATATATAGAAGTGGAAATTAAGACAATTTCCACAACTACTCACCCAGAGAGGATTAAAAAAATAATTGACCACCAACTAATTAAACAAATACACAAGTCATAAATAAAGTATGAGTAATGTTTATACAAGCAAATGAACAGAGAATTATGTTGGCAATAGACGTGTGGTTGATTCATATTTGACTGATTCATATTCAACTGTACACAGTTGAATATAGTCATACAAAATTATAATATATAGGCAGAATCTAAAAACACAATTAAATAATGTAAGGCAGCCTATCCTAACAAGGAAATACAAGAATATATAATATTAGAAAATAAAATTAAATAAACATTAGCCTGTGAAATACCGAATAAACAAAGCATGCAACGGAAGAAGACTCTTTCCAGATAACTAGCATGTTCAACCATAACTGGGCTCCCATAAAGAGCAGATTTTGAATTCTTAGCATATGGTTAGAGTAACAAAATTGCACAACAAATACATTATAATCTCCCATAAAGAGCATTTAGAAGAAAATTTTAATAAAGATTTCAATGATATTAGAGACACTTTTTATTATGTTCTTAATATATTACTCCTCTTTTTATACAAATGGAAAGGCTATAATTTATTTATTTTTTTTAATTTTTTGAGATGGAGTCTCGCTTTGTCACCCAAGCTGGAGTGTAGTGGCGAGACCTCGGCTCACTGCAACCTCCACCTCCCTGGTTCACGCCATTCTCCTGCCTCAGCCTCCTGAGTAGCTGGGACTACAGGCGCCCACCATCACGCCCGGCTAATTTTTGTGTATTTTTAGTATACACGGGGTTTCACCGTGTTAGCCAGGAAGGTCTTGATCTTCTGACCTCGTGATCCACCCGTCTCGGCCTCCCAAAGTACTGGGATTACAGGCTTGAGTCACCGCTCCTCGCCGGCGATATTTTTTGTAGTTTTAGTAGAGACAGGATTTCACCATGTTGGCCAGGCTGGTCTTGAACTCCTGACCTCATGATCCACCTATCTCGACCTTTTAATGTGCTGTGATTACAAGCATGAAACACAGCACTGGCCTATAATTTATTATTTTTAAAACAAAGAAAAGCCTTACATTTTTACATATGGGAACAACATGAATATTGTAAAATATGCTGTGGAAAACTACAATATAATAAGCAATTAGAAATAAATTATACTATCATTCAGATAAATGTTGAGGAAAGTAAATGGAAACACTAATGATAAGTTTTTCTATGCAGTGAACTTAGACACAAACTAAAACTTTTCTTAATGTGATGTGCATATCATCCAATTCACTTTTTATATAACACATAAATTCAAGTATGTTTTCTGAAACCCCTGAAGCTAAAGTTATAGGCTAATTTGACATACGTAAAAACAGGACAGGGAAAACATACAGATCACAGTCCCACTAAGCTTTATATAAGATTAATTAATAAAATAACTCATTAAGAAATAATGTAACAGTTAAGAATTTGTTCTATTCCTGGCATGTTTCTAAGTTTTTCTATGGATTAAGGTCCTTAAAAATTCTTTGAGATGAGTAGATACAATAAACTATTCCATAGGTGATATGTTTGGCATAGAGAGTTCACATTTCTAAGTTAGTTTCTACTAAGGGAAAGAAAACTTTTTGACCTACATTACCAGAGATGAAAAAAAGAATAAAGTGAAATAGAAGATTCAACTTTATCATATCTGCTGAGGTGCTTTGGGCTCTGATAAATTTTTTTTCTGATTTTTTTGCAGGAACACATTTGAAATAATAGGACTGAAAATTATGAGGAGGAAACATTTGTCCTTGGTGTTTCTGAAATATGTGAACCAAACCCCAATGCCTGCACTTTTGCTCTCACAAACTTCTGACATGAGGCACAGATTTTTACAAAACAGCTTAACATAGAAGTCTCACAAAATGTGCAGATTTCCTCAGATCCCAAAAACAATGGAAAAGCACTCAGACCACAAGAGCTTCATGGGAATAGCAGAAAGAAGAGGTGAACTTTGGCTGTCACTGTGAATGCCCTGGAATGTTAGTGGATGAACAGAGAAGCCTTAGAAGATTTAAGAGCATAATAAGCATAGGGTAGGAAATTTCCACCTGTGGCAGCAAAAGAAGTAAATTTAGAATTTTCCAGAACCAATTTCTTTGAAGCAGAACTTCCAACACCACATTTTTAAGGTTTTCTCCTTGGCCTTTGCACCTCTCATCTTTGTTATTTGTTTATTCTTCCCTATTGGGGTGTTGCCTATTATTCTCTCTCTTTTTACATTCCAAAGACATTTCCTTTACTGTAGGACAGGGGCATCCACGGGAGACTACAGCCATGAGTTCTTAGTTTCTGTTTCTGGTTGAGCCAGTAAGGCCCTTTCCTCATCCCCCTTTTCCACTTATCACTAGACACAGAACCCAAAAACCATTGCTGCAGGCTGCTAAAAACCTAAAACAAAACAGAGCCATAACAAAAACAAAACAAGGCGGGTTGGAAAAGCTTGCTGTACGAGGCAACCAGGTCTGGCTTATATTCACCACATCCCTTCTTCTTTCCCAGAACAGCAATTGGGCTCAAGAGAAAACGTCCAACTTTTAGTATATCCCTCAGTATAGAATGAGAACAGTGGAACATATGTTCAAAGGTTTGGCTTTGTGGGCTACCGCTGATGACTAGATTCTGTCTCCCCAAACAGGGAATGCTAAAGGAAATGGCAGAGTAATGAGAATGATAACTTATGACTGCTGAGAAGAGAAGTTACATGCTTACCACAGCCTCAGAGAAACAAACACTACAATCAACTGCGGAAGCAAAGGACCACAGTGTCTGGAAAACAATGGGAAAAAATATCTTTACCTTAAAAATCCACACACAAGCCCAGAGAAGACACATTGAAGACACTGTTAATGAAGAACCAGGATGTACAGCCTCACTGATTGTTGTATTATCTTGTAGTAAGCAAGTTTGTACATACTACATTACACAGTTGTTTTATAAATTTCTGAATCTCATCAAAAGATTGCAGGGCATACAGAAAAGGACGAAAACATGTCCCAATTGAAGAAATAAAATAAACCTACAAATATTGATCTTTAAAAATCTTTGTTGACTTTTAAAGGTCAAAATTTGTAGGTTTATTCTTTGTTGTTGTTGTTTTTGCATTATATAATTTTGAAAATCAAAATAATTATCAAAGCTCCTTAATGATATGAACACTCCTCCAGTCCGCAGGGCTCCGGCAAGGGAGGAGCTTAGACACCATGCGGGACACCCGGGTGGACCCCCAACCCACGCCCGAGGCTCAGAGCAGGAGCAAGGACCTGGCTGCACCAGGCCGAAGCCGCCTCCACCCCCAGCGGTCGCGGACTCCAGGAGCTCCAGACCTGGGGTCGTGGTGAGATTCGTTGATTGACTGCGCGATGGTGGCTGAGTTGCAACCAAATGGGTTTCATCACCTTAAATGGTTTTGAACCAATGAAGCTATATTCCCTTAAAGAGACGGACAGCCCATCGTGTGAACTATAGAGTTTGTGAACAAATTTATATTGGGTTCATAGTGGCATCATGCACACAGACTCCTGCGAGTTCCCCTAAGTTCTTAGAGGACTGCTTTACCTTTTGATCTGAGAGTTGCAAAGTTCCGTAAAGAATGGCCCTGTGGATAAGCGCTAAGTCAAGAGACAGCGATTGGACAGAATTTGTGAAGGAATTCGCCGCCAGATCACGAAAGACCCCCTAAGCCCCCGCTCACTGGCAGCGTTCCTGGTCGGCCGTGACTGCACTGTGGACATGCCCATCCTGAAGGCCACCGTGGCCTTCTATGATGCAGTCCACGCAGGAAATCCACGAGAAAGTTCTAAACAGAGCCGTGGGCCCCATGATGCACCACACAATCACCTCACCAGGGAGGTTCTGGCAAATTTCAAGTCCTTGAGAGTGATCGTGGGGGTGGGCAGTGGCTATGACAACGTGGACATCAAGGCTGCCAGCGAGCTCGGAATTGCTGTGTGAAACATCCCGTCCGCAGCCGTGGAAGAGACAGCCAATTCCACCAACTGCCACATTCTCAACATGTACCGGAGGAACACATGGCTGTACCAGGCACTGTGGGAAGGCAAGCGGGTTCAGAGCATGGAGCAGATCTGCGAGGTGGCCTCGGGAGTGGCCCGCATTCGTGGGAAGACGCTGGGCCTCATCGGCTAGGGTCGCACGCAGCAGGCTTTTGCAGTTCCAGCCACAGCCTTTGGATTCAGCGTCATGTTTTATTACCCCTACTTGCAGGATGGGATCGAGCAGTCCCTGGGCATGCAGAGGGTCTACACCCTGCAGGATTGGCTGTATCAGAGCGACTGCATCTCCTTGCACTGCAGTCTCAACGAACTTAAGCACCACCTCATCAATGACTTTACCATAAAGCAGATGAGGCAGGGAGCATTCCTTGTGAACGCAGCCCGTGGTGGCCTGGTGGACGAGAGAGCCTTAGCACAGGCCCTCAAGGAAGGCAGGATACGAAGGGCAGTCGTCGACGTGAACGAGTCGCAGCCCTTTAGCTTTGCTCAGGGTCCGTTGAAAGATGCCCCCAATCTCATCTGCACTCCTCTCACTGCCTGCTACAGCCAGCAGGTGTCACTGGAGATGAGGGAGACAGCTGCCACCGAGCTCCGCCGAGCCATCACAGGTCGCATCCCAGGAAGCTTAAGAAACTGTGTGAACGAGGAATTCTTTGTCACATCTGTGCTTTGGTGGGAAATAGACCAGCAAGAAATTCATCCAGGCATCTTGGGCGTGGGTCCAGGAGGACTTCCTGCATCCATGGAAGGGACATTCCCTGGAGGCATCCCGGTGACTCACAAACTCCCCACAGTGGCACATCCTTCCCAAGCACCCTCTCCCAACCAGCCCTCAAACACGGGGACAATCGAGAGCACCCCAACGAGTAATAACAGAGAATGCCGGAAGGTAATCATTCAGATACACTTTTGAAGAAGAGACAGTGAAAAATAGACAAACTAAGAGAAAAAGAATCTGACGCTCTTTTTAGCTGATTCTGGACATATGCTCATTGGTTTTGCACTGTTAAAACTGCAAGACCTAGAAAACTGCAGATGTCGTCTGCTTACGGAAGCTCTGAAAGACTAGGATGTGATTTATTAACCACCAACTTCCGTTATTATGTGTTTAGTTTTTCATCTGTGCATCAAATCACAAAGAATGAATACAATTTTTTCCTTTATCAGTCCCTTGGGCACAGCAGGTCTGGAACACCCTGCTCAGAATGTTGCATCAAGACTTCAAACATCAAAATAAAAACCATGAGGAGGAAATCCCCATCTTGTGACTTGAGTCCCTTCAGTCTACAGGGACTGGTTACAGCATTTTGTTAATAGGAAGATCACATTACTAGAAAATATGGAGTAAACTGTTTGCCTATGGTAGACATCCTCACACATAAGATTGAAGACAGTACCGGCTCCTGTACAGAGAAGCGTCTCTCACATCTGAACTGCATACTGAGCGGGCAAGTTGGTTGTAAGTTCAGTAAAAGCCTCTGATAATGCAAAAAAAAAAAAAAAAGTATTAAGTTTCACACGCTGTTTGTAATCAAGTATATTTTCTCAGTTTCAGATCCTCTGCTATTTTATTTAGTGGGAAGTCTTGCACTAAAAGGGTTCAAGAAAAATAGTGTTGCATTTTCTTATGTCACAGGAAACACTTTTAATGGTAACTTGTCAGATTGTCTATGAACAAACCCACTTTTTAAGACATTGATAAAGTCTTCTTTTCTTCACGTTGTGTTTTATACAAGAACACTTCAGCTGTATTGGATGTGACTGATTTTAACAAATTATATTAGATTTGCATCAATTAGTTACATGTTCTATTTATAGTCTTTTGTGAATATAGTCTTTTTGTTTAAAAAGATGGCCTGTTTTGATCCTTTGATTAGGTACATTCCCGTTTTTGTAAGAAAAGAGAAATTTTTAAGACTGTCCCAAACAGAAAAATAATGGCTATCAGAAGTACGTTTTGTTTTAGTGTAGTGCGAATTACCGTTACTGTAGTTGTTTATTGTAAAGATGGACATTTAGCATTCAGTGCAGTTTTCAATAAAATGTGATTAGAAAAAACTGCTTAATGAACAAAAACAGAACATAGACAACAAAAGAATATTAGAAGAAGTGATACATAAAGAAAATGAGATATCAATAAAAAGATTTTTAAAAACCAACAATTGTGAATCTGAAGAACATAATAGCTATATTAAAAATTTAATCAACAGTCACAAAAGCAGACTAATAAAGGAGAAAAAATTACACAATTGATGACATTGTAGTTATAAATATTGAGTGATGAAAACAAATTTTTTAAGCAGAATGGAGGAAAAAGTATGGGAAGTACTGCACATGGTCAAGTGGACCATTATATTTATGAAAGGAGTCTTACAAAAACAATATAGGAGAAAAGTAATAAAGAGGTTATTTTTAAAAAGTAGCTGAGAAATCCCCACATGGCAAGATAATTAAACAAGAAGAAATACTTCCAAACAAAAACCTTCAACTGGAGTAATATCACTTCAGAAATAAAAAAACTAAACCTTTCCAAATAAATAAAAGTTGATTGTGTTACTAACCACTAGAACAGTCCTAAAGGAAGTGTAAAAGAGTCTATCACGTCCAAAAATGAAATGATGCTGCAGAGCATCATAACAGCACATGAAAATAGAAAGCTCTCTATTAAAGGTAAATATATAAACAGGTAAAGAAATCTCTACTGTCATAATCATGGTGCACAAAACTTTCAAAATATTGCCATGGAGTTTAAAACATGAGGCAGAAATCTGCATAAATTTGTGATCATAGACCATAAGGAAAGATAATATGCGATATTAATAAAACAGTGGGGGTGTCAAGAGGTACAACTTTGCATTCAGTTGAAATATAGTTGTTCTATACTGTCATAACTTTAAGATGATTTATGAAGTCTTTATTTCTCAGGATGATTACCAAAAAAAACCTGTAGAATGTATGCAAAGGCAAATGAGAAAGAAATTCAATCACGTCACTACAAAATCAACAAACAGAAATAAAGCAGTAAGAGAAAAAATGATAAATAACACATCTACAAGAAACACAGAAGACAATTACAAATAATAAAGTAACTTCATTAAATGCAGTAATTACTTCAAATATAAAAAGTTAAATACCTTAAAGAAAATTAATAAATAATTTAATGGATTAAGAACAAAGAAGATCCAGCAATTTGCTCTCTACAAGAGTCACTTCAGCTCTAAGGACTCAAATAAGTTGAAAGTAACAGTATAAAGAAAATATATTTTATTCAAAGAGTAGCTAAAATTGGAGGGCCATGGTCATAATTATACTAAACAAAATATATTTTAAATCAAAAATATGAACAAGAGACAGATTGGTATTGTGTTTTTGTTTTTGTTTTTGGAGACAGAGTCTCATTCTGTCACCAGGCTGGAGTGCAGTGGCACGATCTCGGCTCACTGCAACCACAACCTCCCTGGTTCAATCGATTCTCCTGCTTCAGCTTCCCGAGTAGCTGGGACTACAGGCACACGCCGCCACCTCACCCAGCTAATTTTTGTACTTTTTAGTAGAGATGGGGTTTCACCTTGTTGGCCAGGATGGTCTCGATCTCTGGACCTCATGATTCACCCGCCTCGGCCTCCCAAATTGCTGAGACTACAGGCGTCAGCCACTGCGCCCGGCCGAGAGAGATTGGTATTATGTAATGGTGAGATGGATTAACTTTCCAGGAATCTATAACAATAATTTATAAATCATATATATATAATTTGAAAAATCTGCAAAAATATACCACTGAGATTTTGACAAAAATTACATTAAATTTTTGTATTACTATAAATAGCACTGACATCTTTCTTTCTTTTTTTTTTTTTAGAGACAGAGTTTCTTTCTCTCTGGCTGGAGGGCAGTGGCATGATCTCTCGATAGGCTCACTTCAACCTCCTCCTCCCAGGTTCAACTGATTCTCGTCTTTCAAATATGTAAAACAAATATTGACAGAAGTCAAGCAAGAAATACATAGCAACACAACAATGGTGGACTTCAAGACTCCACTTTCAGTAATGACTAGAATAGTCAGAAGTAATATCAGTAAGAAAGCCAAACCTGAACATTATAGACCCAACCAGCATTTACAGAACTCTCCAATTTAAAGGAGCAAAATCTGCAATATTCTAAATCACACATGGTACATTCTGTTAGGATACATGTCTTATTAAATTTAAGAAAACTGAAGCCATACAATGTAAATGAAACTAGAATTCAAAAGCAAGAAAATGTGGCAAATATGTAAATAAGAGGAAATTAAGCAAAATCTTTCATATAGTCTTGCTCAAGTGTCAGGTGATTTAATATTGTTAAGATGTCAGGGCCGGCATGAGGCTCATGCCTGTAATCCTAGGACTTTGGGAGGCCAAAGTGGGTGGATCACTTGAGATCAGAAGTTTGAGACTAGCCTAGTGAATATGGCAAAACCCTATCTCTACTAAAAATACAAAAGTTAGCTAGACGTGATGGTGCACGACTGCAATCCCAGCTACTCTGGTGGCTGAGACTGGAGAATTGCTTGAACCTGGGAAGCGGAGCCTGCAGTGAGCACATCTCGCACCCCTGCCCTTCAGCCTGAGTGACTCACTAAAACTCCATCTCCAAAAAAAAAAAAAAAAAAAATGTTGTCAGTACTACTCATGATGATATAAAAATGTAAGGTAATTTTTGTCAAAATCCCAATGGTATTTTTTTTGCAGAATTTTTGTGTATAATTCTAAACGTTGCTTAGGACAGGTGACTAGCCAAACACCCTTTAAAAAGAACAAAGAGGTATTACATTTTCTGATTCAAAATCATGATACAAAGCTACAAAAATAAAAACAATGTGGTATTGCCACAAAAACAGATACATAGATGACGAAACAGAATAGAGATCCCAGAAATAAACCCTTGCATATGTGATAAAATAATCTTCCGTAAGCTTTCCATGACCACACAATAGAAAAATAAGAATCCATTTAACAAAGAGTTTTCCAAATTGAATATTTACAGAGAAAAAAATAAAGTTGGATGCTTCCTTTGTATCATATATAAAAAGAAAAGTTTTTAAAATGAATTCAATACTTAAACATAAAACCTAATAAAATTCTTAGAAGTAAACATAAGGGAAAAGTTTATGACATAAGTCTTAAAACTCTTTCCTTAAGTTTGACATCAAATTCATAAGCAACAAGGAAAAGAACAACGACCAAGAAAAGGGACTACATTAAGCTTCAACTATTCTACACATCAAATAAAACATTTAGTGCCATACAAACGTCACCTAATAAGTGGGTGAAAGCTAGGCATGGTGTCTCATGCCTTTAATTCTACAACTTTAGGAGGCCAAGGCAGAACAATCACTTGAGACCAAAAGTTTGAGACTAGCCATGAAAACATAGCAAGACCCTGTCTTGTATAGGGTTATATATATGCATACATACATACATATAACTAAAAAGAGTAAAAATATTTTCTAATCACATATTTGGTAGGTGTTAATTTTCAAAATATATAAATTCCTAAAACTCAACAACAAAAAAAGTTAATAACTTGATTTAGAATGGCACATGTTTGAAATGACTTTCTCCAAAGAAGACATAGAAATGACTAGGCATTTAAAAGGATACTCGACAACTCTCTTCTAGAAAAATACAAAGAAAAGTCACAATAATCTATCACATCAAACCTATTTTTAAAATAGTATGAAAGCTCTTCAAAAAATTTAAAATGAGATTATTATACAATCCAGCAAACCCCATTCTGGCTATGTATTTAAAATATACAACACATGATCCGGAAGAGATATTTGCACACCCAAATTTATTGCAGCATTACTAACACAAGCCAAAAGGCAGAAACAACCCAGCTGTCCCTTGACCAATGAAGAGATTAACAACAAGTGGCACATACACAAAGTCGAATATTATTCAGTCTTTAAAAAGTCACATTATATGATTATTCTTGAGAATATCACGTTAACTGAAATAAGCCAGGAACAAAGTGACAGTCTATGATTCCATTCATAATCAGGTATCTTAAGTAGACAAACTCATAGAAAAAAAAAGTTAGAATGGTGTTTGTCAAGGACTGAAGAGATGGTAAAATGGGCAATTGTCTTAAAAGACATTTAATGTTAGTTTTGCAAGACATAGAAGTTCTACAGATCTTTTGCATAACTATGTGAATGTACTTAACGCTAATGAAATATACACTTAAAAAGAATTAAAATGGTAAATTTTACATTATGTGTTTTTACCACAATCGCAATTTTTAAAAGGAAAAATATGGACTTATAAAGCTTTCCAAAAATTAAATTTTGTTCACAAAAGATTTTCTCTCACACAAAGGAAGTATAGATTTATAATTAAACACATTGTGAAATTAAGATTATTTCAATGACTATTCATCCACACAAGATAAGACAACCACTGAAAATCAGCCAAAAAATATGGAAGATAAGCCATGAGCAAAGTTGGGGACATATTTATAGAGACAAACACATATATAATTTAATTTTGAAAACGTATGACCGATTTATATTTTAATTAAACCCAACATTAGTTTCCTGAGTGAAATTTGGTTTTCAGTTTGGGCAAATGAAGACCTTTCTGTGGTTAAAAGGATTCTTTCTTCTCCGTTTCTTCATATGGACCTGTGCTGGGGATTGGTCAGCTGTTCAAGTGCAATGCACTCAGTTTTGGTTCTGTGCCAGGATTAAACCTACGATATTTCACATTTCATATATAAACCCCGATGAAGTGTTTCTAGGAGATGGCTGCCTCATAACCTATATTTTGCCAAATGTTTACTATGAATTTCACCACCATCCTCTTGAAGGTGGTATTGTAACTAAAACTCTTCAGGACATTCTACTTAAAACTAAAATCACGTATATCTCAAGAAACTCCTTTCTGATTTGAAATGCCTCTGTCATGTATTGTCTGCAATCAGCCTCCTCTTTAAAAGAAAGTAGAAAGGACAGATGAGGAAACTGATAGTGTTACTGCATGGGAGACAGAGGTGAGGATACACATGGCGGATGAAAACATGGAAGTTATTTCTACAGCACGATCTTGTAAGTGTCTGACTGCTATGCTCCCTTGTATATCAAATGATGTACCTTTATTGCAAGAGAAGATAGTGCGCTGTTTACCTTGACATTGAGAGGCAATTTTGAATCTCTGTCGTGATTGTTTAGGACTGAGGATTTAATGTGCTATTTTGTGGAAATCTTAGAAGCAGTAATGGGATTTAATGATCTTAACTATCATCCTTCTGAAAAATCTAACGCGATTTTAAATAAAATGGCCGGCTGCTTCCACCGTTCCCTTTTTAAACCAGGAGCTGCCGTTGCTTTTAACATTACGAAGTTGAATCTATGAATAGTTTGTACTATTAACATTTTTTTAAAAATCCACATTGACTTGAAGTGTACAGGCAGAGTTGGAAATTATAACATCCAAAGTTATAATACATAAGTAAAACCCAAAATAAAATCAACTGCTGCCCTGGAACCTATTATAAATAATCGAGACAGTAATATGGAATTGTAAAGAAAAATAAGAAACATATTTACTCATAAAATCTTGCAAGCAAAGTTTTTTTCTTTTTTTGAGACAGAGTCTCACTCTGTCACCCAAGCTGAAGTGCAGTGGCGAGACGACGGCTCATTTCAACCTCCGCCTCCTGAGTTCAAACCATTCTCCTGCCTCAGCCTTCACTGAGATTACAAGCACCTGCTACCAGACCAGGCTACCTTGCATATAAACTTGATATATCATTTATGAAAATACTTTTTAGATAACTAAAATATTCTACTGTGACTGTGCATTCATGAAGTTCGGGTATCTTGAATCATTGGCATGCAGTGTGTGACAGTAAAATTTCACAGAAAATACACTGTAACCATTAATAAAAGGCCCTAATAAGAGAATTTTAATGCATAAGAATTGAAAAGACACCATAAATAATTTCCGTTGTATTTTTAATACACTGATGCTATTCTTACACAAAGTAAAAAGGCTGGGTAAGTTGTGGTGGCTCACACCTGTAATTCCAGCAATTTGGGAGGCCGAGGTAGCAGATTGCTTAAGCACAAGAGTTCACAACATGCCTGGGCAGGATAGGGAGACCCTGTCTCTGCAAATAATAATAAACAGCCAAGTGTGTTAATACACATTTGTGGTCCCATCTGCTCAGGAGGCTGAGGCAGGAGAATTGCCTGAGCCTGAGTGGTCAAGGCTAGAGTGAGCTGTGATTATGCATTGCATTCCAGCCCAGGTGACACAGTGAGACCCTGTTTAAAGAAAAAAACAAACAAAAACTAAAAATTAACCAGGAGTAGTGGCATGCACCTGTACTCCCA
Source organism: Homo sapiens (assembly GCF_000001405.40). Lineage (NCBI taxonomy): Eukaryota > Metazoa > Chordata > Mammalia > Primates > Hominidae > Homo > Homo sapiens. The sequence continues at coordinate 7,618,735 of NC_000021.9, read as the reverse complement.
GCTACTTCAGAAGCTGAAGTTAGAAAATCATTTGAGCCTGAGAGTTTGAGTCTGCAGTGAGCCATAATTGAGCTACTGAACTCCAGTCTGTGTGACAGAGCAAGGCCTTGTCATAGATAGATAGATGATAGATGATAGATAGATAGATAGATAGATGGAATACACCTGGAGAAAGAGTAAATTTTAATGTAGTGTGATGTAATTTTTAAAATAAACTTTATGTGTGTATCACTTAGAAATTTATAGAACAGGCCGGGGGCGGTGGCTCACGCCTCTAATCCCAGCACTCTGAGAAGACGAAGTGGGCAGATCAGGGGGCCGGATATCGAGACCAAGACCATCCTGGCTAACACGGTGAAACCCTGTCTCTACTAAAAATACAAAAAATTAGCCGGGTGTGGTGGCGGGCAACTCTAGTCTCAGCTACTCGGGAGGCTGAGGCAGGAGAATGGCGTGAAACCGGGAGGCAGAGCTTGCAGTGAGCCGGGATCGCGCCGCTGCACTCCAGCCTGGACAACAGAGCGAGAGTCTGTCTCGAAAAAAAAAGAAATTTATACAACTTAGCCAGAAGAATAAAAAACAACCTCTTAACAGTTTTTTCAAATAAAAAAAGTGAGTTTGAAGAGAAGGGAATAAAGGGGACTTTCAGTTTAATGTGTTTTTTATTTTTTGAGTCAGGGTCTCACTTTGTTGCCCACATGGAAGCGCAGTGGTGTGATTTCAGCTCACTGCAAACTTGGCCTCCCAGGCTCAAACAATCCTCCCACCTCAGCCTCCCTAGTAGCTGGGAATACAGGTGTACATCACCACAACTGGTTAATTTTTGTATTTTTGTAGAGAGAGGGTTTTACCATGTTGCTCACACTGGTCTTGAGCTTCTGGGCTCAAACAATTCACCTGCCTTGGGCTCCCAAAGTGCTGGGATTGAGCCACTAGGCCAACCAAGTTTTTTGTTTGGTTTTGTTTTTGAGATGGAGTCTCACTCTGTTGCCCAGGCTAGAGTGCAATGGCACGATCTTGGCTCACTGCACCATTTGCCTCCTGGGTTCAAGTGATTCTCCTGCCTCAGCCTCGTGGGTAGCTGGGATTATAGGCACCCGCCACCGAGACCAGCTAATTTTTGTATTTTTTAGCAGAGATGGGGTTCCACCATGTCAGCTAGGCTGGCCTCAAATTCCTGACCTCATGATCCACCCACCTCGGCCTCACAAAGTGCTGAGATTACAGGCATGAGTCACTGCTCCCGGCGACCAGCCAAGACTTTTACTTTATAAAGATATTTATGATGTTTTCTTTTCTTTTTACAGTACGCATTGCATTTATAATTGGAGATACAAAAAAAGGTGACTGTTACTGTTTGACAGCAAGGCAGTAGTATTATCTTCATCAATATTTGCAACTTAATTCGCAGGAACCTGTAAGAGAAAGCCCAGACAAAACTTTAAGGCAAAGAAGTTACACTTGTAAAAAATGAGAGGACTATTTTTTTATAATAACAAATATTCCAGGTGAGGACTGGTCAGGATCTACCACTGCTCCATCTCACTTGATAAGTCTCATGCCTGCCAGGGTAAGAAGGAGCAGAGAGAAGGACAAATGCCAGTGAGTTTCCTCTCCCACTAAGGATCTGTTTGTCAAGTTTCCTACCATCAAGTGGAAGATGTACTAAAAATAAAATGTACCCTTGCAGATGCTAGCAGAGAGGCACAAAATAGAAAAGGAGGTAAGCCCATATATTGTGGAGAAAGAGATCCAACTTAAGATTCAAAATGCACCAGAAAGCTGTGTAAAGTTAATAAAATTACTCAAAATCTTGGAACATTTGTTTCCTCACCTGTAAAATGGGGATCATGTGCCTACTTCATAAGTTGTTTTGACAGTTAAATTCACAGAGATATTTAATAGAGCCTGCTATGGCAAGTGTTCACATTAACAAAGTAGTATCAAACTTCAAAATATGGGAAAGGTATTTTGAATAATGTCTATGAGGCCAAGGACAACATGCCCAGCTTCACAATCAATCCCAGCCACATTACACTGAGGAGATCTACAGGCAACTATATTTCTTCAACAAATTCCATTAGAGAGGAAGAGTGTGTAGTCTGAAAACATGACACAAATGTGACCAGTGTACAGTGACTTAGGTAGTCGGGGGTGGAATCCCTACATATTCTCTGAATTGCAGCTACACAGTGAGTTCCCAGGAAACAAATGGAATAGAAAAGGTGACACAAAATATACTACCATAAATGGGGTGAGCATAGCAGGTTCACAACCACAAATGTAAGCAGGAGACTCAAATCACCAGGAGCACCTAGATCTGTGAACAGCAGCTTGTGGTGGCATCAGGTTCAACTTTCTGAGACCACCGGTGTGGGCAGTGTCTTTGCAGGCACATACTCGGCAGCAGTGTATCTGAAGACAGATCTCAAGGCTCTTCTCTTCACTAATTATTAAGATGATAGATGATGGATACCCTCACGTTACAACATCCCCACTAACGCTGTGGACAAGTGAATTCAGAAACCCACACCTAAATACACAGTGAAGAGTAGGATGAGAATACTGCAGGATAGGTTAGGAATGCAGGCATTCGACCCCATAGAGTCTATTTAAAATAAGAGAAGGGCCCTAGTATTGTGCTGTGGTCCTCCTATATATAGTTCTTTATTTTTCCAATTTCATAAAGGCCATACAGTTTTTCTTCCTTTCTTCACAAATGTGCTGATGAACCCATGAGTAATTCATCCTGAAGGGGTTAATTCCTCATAAAGTACAGTAACGTGATTCAATTGCTATGATGAGGTTTTTCAGGATTTTTTTATAGTGTCCCATACTCACCGATCACAAGTGAAAATTATAAGAACATGTAATTTGAACAAAGTATTCTTTTCACATAGAGAAATACACAGGTTTATACAGATTAGATGCATCATCAAAGTTGGTAACATCTGGGAACAAAAGGAACTATCCTGAGGACATAAGGAACTTAGGGACGTCGATTATTAAGAGGCTACCTGCAAGTGGAACTTCTGGGTTTTCATTGTCTAGACAGAAAAATTTAACTCATAAGCCCCAGTATATTAAGGTACATCCCCAACGGCTGTGGGGGATCAACTTTCCATCCAAAGCAGAGATGTAAAACATGAATGACTTCAAATGCGGCTCAAGTGCTCTGCACCTTGAAAGTCATCCCCACAAAGCTGGAGCACCACCTGTTCCTGAGGGATGAGGTCACCAACTGCTTTTTTGAGACACTCGTCAGTCAGGACTCAGTTGAGATGAGGCTGGTGATTTCAACTGTAAAATATCTAAACCATCGTCTTTAGGTAGATTCTTATGCCTGGGAATTGTGGTTTTCTCCTCTGCTGTTAGCAGATCCTGAGTAACCCAAGAAATACCCGCTCTCACCCGTCAAGTTCTATATCACAAGAAAGGCGCTGCAGACGGTGACATTTTCACGAAGGAGCCACAGCCCGCATCACCCCCTGAAAGCTCTGAAGTTGCGCACGGGTGGGTCACGCAGCAGGTGGATGTCTCAGTTCCCATAGAGTTTAGCAGAGCAGGCGGCTCCCTGGGCTGGAAGAGGTGCGATGCTCTGGAAACCCCCCGCGGGTGTGTATGTGAGAGGACACCGAGATGTTCAGCGGGCTGTTCAGTGAGGACCAGACCCCTCCGATTTGAGCAAGGGAGGTGCACTTCGCAGGGTCACACCGTCCTCATCGCCCAGCCTAGACCTGCCCCTCAAGTCCTTCTGCGGACTCCCTTGGCGAGGGGGTGGCACAGAATCAGCATGTGGCATCGCTTAGGAAAGGACGAGTCCACACCGCCCTGTCCCTCCCTCCAGGGCTGCGCACCACGGGGTAGGACAGACAGCGCATGCTGGTTTTGTAGTTAGCAGGTCGGCGACCAATGGGCTGGAAACCGTTAAGACACCATAACTCCCAGCACTCCTAGCTAGGGACGCGCCTCCCTATCCTTCGCTTCCATACTACACACCGCCCCCAAACCCAGCGCATGCTGAGATTGTAGTCCGTTAGCCTCGCGACCAATGGGCTGGAAATACTGAAAGGACTATGACTCCCAGGATGCTTTGCGAGGTACCCGCCGTCCCGATCCTTCCTCTAGGGCTGCGCACCGCCCCCAAGCCCAACGCATACTGGGATTGTAGTCAGGTAGTCCTGGGACCAACTGACTGGAAACTGTTAAGAGACCATAACTGCCAGCACGCCTGGCTAAGGACGCACCTCCCTATCCTTCCCTTCAGTGCTACACACCGCCTCGAAGCCCGGTGGCTGCTGGGATTGTAGTCTGCAGGCCGGGGGCCATCGCTGGAAACCGTTAAGAGACCATAACTCCCAGCATCCCTGGCCAGGGACGCGCCTCTCTATCCTTCCCTCCAGCGTTACACACCGCCCCAATCCCGGTGCATGCTGGCATTGTAGTTCGGTAGCCTTGCGATCAACGTGCTGGAAACTGTTTAAGGACTATGACTCCCAGGACGCCTTGCGAGGGACCCACCCTGTTGACCCTTCCTCCAGGGCTGGGAACCTCCCTTAAGCCCAGCGCATGCTGGGATCATAGTCCGACTGCCGCGACAGAAAGGCTGGGAGTGGATCTGAGACTACAGTTCCAACACTACGGGGAAAATTTCATCTTCTCTGAGACTACAGTTCCAACACTGAGGGGATAATTTCATCTTCTCCTCCGCCCCTCCATGTTTCCAGTGCAATTCCGCCCTGCTGAGGGGAGCCTATCTGTTCCCAAACTTCTGCGTGCGAGGAGACAGCGTGGCCAGGGCAGGTGGTCTCACTTGTAATTGTGGCACAGTCTCCCCACGTGCCAGTTGTACGACTATTTGTGCCTGAAGTTTGATTTCTCTCTGACAAGACAGAGCCCGGGAGCCTCCAACAGCCTGCCCAGCGTTGCTGTAACGCTTGCTTTCGGGGAGCTGGGCGCGCCCAGACCTTTGCAGGGCCCCTCCCTCAGCCCCGACCCTTCTCCTCGCCCCTCCCCTGCCACGCCCCTTTCGACATGCTGGAAAGTCATCTACCTTTAATAACAGTCATCTTTGCAAAAAAAAAAAAAAAAAAAACTCTGAGAATAACCTATCTCCCATTCTATTTAGTATTTATTTCCATAGTATCCATAAATAGTAGCAATTAGATATCACAGCAAGTCAAGCAAAAGCCCTGCCTTGCCTGTTTCATAAACCACGATATGGCCTTGCTGTGGTTTTATTTGTATTTTGTTTTGTATTTATTGACCTTTTGGATATAAATATTTAGGTATTTGGACAGTTTTTGGAAGTATTCCGCTATTAGTTGTTGATTTACTTCTGTTCCCTATTTAATTATTTTTTGTCTCTCCCTTCTCCTTAGACTCAGTCATTCCACAGGTCTCGAGAGTTCTGTTCATTTCCTTTAAACTTTTTGTACTTTTTTTTTTCCAGACTGGATAATTTCTATTGCTGTGTCTTCTGTTTTAAATCTATGGCTAAACTCAAAAGATTTTTTTCATTTCCTTATCTATAATTTTTTTATATATATGTTCATTTCTCTGCTGAAGTTCCACATCTGTTTGTTTATGAATAGAATATTTTCTTTTTTCCCCATGAACATATTCATAAAAACTGCCTTCAAATTCTTGTCTGCTGATTGCAACATCCTGGGATAGCTTCTACTGCCTGCTTTTGATATTGTGTATGGATGACATTTTCACGTTTCTTTACAAGTCTTATGAATTTTAAAATTGTGCACTAGAAACTATAAATGATAATTATAGAATAGAAACTCTGGATTTTGCTGTTTTACCTTGAAGACTTTTGTTTTATAAACAGGGTTCATTGGGCTAGTGTCAAACCAATGCTTATGTCCGCTACAGTGGGTATAGCTGAAATCTTCATTCAGTTGTTAAACACACATATCATATATGTATTATGCATAGGCGTTTTTCTATAATAATATATTTTATTCAAGTTTCATCATTGTTATTTGTGAGAGTTCAACAAGCTAGTCCACACTTAGTGGAAGTCAGAACCTCAGTTTTATTTGATTGTAGCATTTTATATAAACAAAATTATATAGTATGTATACTTGTACATCTGTTTTCTTTATTTCCTTTTCTGTTTTCTTTCTTTCTTTCCTTTTCTGTCTTCTTTCTTTCTCTCTTTCTTTCCTTCTTTCTTTCTCTCTTCTTTTTTCTTTCTTTCTTTTCCCCAGGTTGGTGTGCAGTGGCATGATCTCACTGCAACCTCTGCCTACCAGGCTTAAGATATCCTTCCACTTCAGCCTTTTGAGTCACTGGGACCGCAGCCTTGCACCACCATGCCCGGCTAATTGTTTTGTATTTTTGGTAGAGACAGGGTTTCACTATGTTGCCCAAACTGGCATGTCTGCTTTCTTTTATGCAACATTACATTTGTGATATTCACCCACCAGTTGCAAATAGCTATAGTCTGTTCATTTTAGAAAGTAGTTTTTACCTTTTAGTAAAATATAAAAATACATGAAATTAACCATTTTATTATTTTTTTTGTGTGCAGTTTAAAGAAATTAAATACATTCACATTGTTTTGCAACCATTGTCCAAGTTCATAAGGAACTGTTTTTCAATCTTTTAAAAGTGAAACTCTGTACCCAGTAAACAACACTCCCCTTCCATTGCCCTTTGTGTAGTCCCTGGAAACTACTCTTCTACTTCGTGTTTCTATGAACTTAACTGCTGTAAATATCTCATATGAGTGGAAAGAGACAATATAGCAAAAAAATCATGAGGAAGAATAATATATACTATATAACATATGTTTATCCATTTTAAGAAAAATGCTAGCAGAGATCAGGTCATGGTGTTTATAGAGAAAGGTAGGTAACAGTGAAAAAGGGATTGGTTGCATTAAATTTACGACGTGATGCCTCAAGTGCCAGAGTAGTGAGCTTTCTGCCCCACTCGCAGGGCTGGTCAATGGTGTGGCTGGAACCCTACTTGAGCTGCCTGACTGCCAGAGCCCATGCTTAGTACAAACTTCAATGAGCCATGAAAGCAATTCCAACAACAGGCACTTAATGGCTCTGAGATTTTATCACAGCCTGTTCTTCATGGCTAGCAACTTCAGAGAAGAGTGACAGCTGTGAGGTTCCAGAAGCCACACCTCAGGTCCCCCAGTTCCTCCCCAGCAGCTGGAGTCCAGGTGCAACAGGACCTGATGCCGGCCAGGGAACCATGGCCACACGCTGTGTGAGGCTGGCGGCAAGACAGTCTCCCCTCCTACCCTCTGCTCATCTGCTAGGTCTTTGCCTTTTATTCTGATTGTGCTGCTCCAGGCTTGGAACAAAGCCCGAAATTCCTCTTGAGTCTGAAGATGATGATGGTTTCCAGCTGTGTGGAACTGCTGCATCTCCTGGAGGACTTTAATCTTCTGGAAACAGAGGGAAAGACAGGATGCTGACAGGGCCTGGGTGAAAGACTCTGTAGGGGCCTTATAAAAGAAGGGAGGAGGGCTGGTCTCTGAGGTGTTTCTTTTAAGGGGCTCTCACCTCCCCTCCAATATCATGCAGCCCTAACTGGTTCTCAGAGTTGAATGTAAACGGCCCTTCCTCTAGGAAGTTGTCATCAACTTCACTCCCCTGATTGCACCCTGCATTAGGATAGGTCTCCTCCTTCTCTGTGTATTACTCCCTTTCAATAAATCTTAGATGCGGAAGAAGGGACCAGGGAATGTCCTGCCCAGGGTGATTTCTCATTTCCACCTCCACCCTCCCTCAAAGTGAGGACTTCAGCTACTGCTCACCTTTCTGTTTTTCTGGGTTTTGATCACATTTCTCTGGAAGACAGAAAGCCAAAGACCATCAGAAAGGTCCGCTGGTCCATAACTAGCCTCCATTTCCAGCGATTTCCAAGCTTCACCACTACCAGAGCCACCAGGGTCAGGGAATGTGCACAAAAGAGGTCTTGCAGCTCTGCAGCTTCACTACTCAGGGAGTGGGACTGATGGCTGCTGTGGAGCCTCCATCACTCATGAGTAAAATACCCTGTTTACGGGATGGGGAGGGCTGCGAGGCCCTCGCAAAAAATTTTGGCAAGGACTGAGATCTAGGAGCTCAGTTCAAGACTCTCTTCTCCCAGGCCTCAGGATCCTGGTCCCTGACCTGTCTTCTCCAGGCTCACTCACATCCACACACTCCTTCATGGCAATGTCCAGCATCACCACATCAGTGAGGAATGTCCCCAGAGAGGGCATGACTTGGGAGGTGCCCACCCAAGTCCTGTCCGCTGAACTCTTATAAACCCCTGCCTCCTGGCGCCCTCTACCTAGGTTACCCACTTGGAGTAGCTGAGAACCCTCAGCTGCCTTTTCCCAATTCTCTATGTCTTCCCATTAGCTGGCCTCTATTGCCACCAACCTCACCATAATTACCTCCTTGGTGGGATTTTAACAAGCCACAAGGTCATGTGGTCCCTGGCTCCACCTGTTTTAAAAGCCACACGGAGCCCAGCTCTCCCAGGCCTTGCTCTGGTCTGTCTAATGAAGGTGTTTTAGGCACTGCAGCCCCAGGAGAAAAGGGCTGGAGTAGAAAGGCCCTCTGCTTTTTTGATTTGGAGGTTTCCAGCTGGGAGAAGTAAGCTCTGTTCTCTGAAACCCTGGAGCCCTTCCCCATCACAGACACATTCACCTTCTGCTGTCACAGCCTCATCTAAGCTCTCTGAGGCTCCGCTACAGGGTAGACAACTTGTACGGTGTTCACCTGCTAGGATGAGGGACAAGGTCAGTGAAAATATGCTTCTTTCAGTTACGCCTCAGCCACACTAACCTTGGACACGGATAAGTGGCCTGAGTCAGCTTGTCCAATGCTCTGACCATCTCCAGTAAGCTCTGACTCTAGACTCACTCCCAGGTCCAACACTCCCTGGATGTGTCATTTTGGGCATGCAGTCGGGTTTCCCTGAGCTGTTTCCTCAACTGGAAAGTGTGGTGGGAACCAACCACCTCACAAGGCCTCTTACCACCTCGGTTTCATGTGGTTGTCATGATTGCTGTCACCATCTTCCCTCTCAGGATGAGCCAGACACAAGCACCCTCAGATTCTCTGTCTCCCTGAGCCCCATCACCACCTTGTGAGGCCTGCCCAACAGGCTCATCATTCCTACATTTTCCACATAAGAAAACAGAGGCCCAAAGCGGCAATGACATGCCAAGGACCCCACAAGAGAGGCCAGCTCCTCCCTCAACCTAGAGGGACTGTCCCGGCTGCCTTCACCTAACACCCTAGCATCATCACTGACCAGCATTCCATCTTCTAAACTCTATGAGTGACAATATTCCCAGCCAGGCCCTGTGGCAGTGGACATGGTTCTGAGAATTGGGAATCTAATGTGGAGGAAAAGTTAAATATTTAATATGAACTCAATTGAACATGGGCACAAACAATGGTCACGAAGTCCTGGAACAGGTTGCATGAACCCCTTGAGGTGTTCATCCAGCGCTGTTTCAGAGAAATCTTTCAATCCATTCCTATACATTAGTTATTGAAAAAACAACAGACAATTGCAAAAACAAGTTGATCTTTTGTGTTCCTTGAGCCCAGTTGTGAAGGGCACCTGTGACTGCGCCTCATGCCAAACAACACATTACAAAAAGAGCTAGGGTCCCAGACTGTGCTGAAGTTTCATGAGACCTCTCCTCATCTGTGCATGGACACGTGGCTGACTCTGGAGCCCAGGCTGTTGCTTCCCAGTCTGGTAATGAATCCTCCATAGTCTGGTGCGTGTAAATATACATATACATATATGTATATTTATATACATGTATATGTATATAAATATACATATATATATTTTCTTTCTGTCCTTCCCATTGCAATTTGCTTATTATATTATTTGCTTATCAAGTCTGTATTGCCATACACTTGGGATAAAGGCTATTTATCCTTAAAACTATTGTGGGTGCCTTTTCTTTTCCCCTCGTTCATTTCCCGCACCGGAGCCCAGGTGATGGAATCTCGAAGTGACCTCACTTCCTTAGTTACAAACTCAAAGAAAGTTTAGAACTCTGGTAACCTGGAGCCCTAATTCTAGAGACAGCTTTGTATTTACTAAGGAGACTCTGAAGACAGCAAGATGTTCTCCTGCTATGTCTTGAATTTCTGAGGCTCTCATCTCAGGAAGGCTTGAACAGAGAGACTTTTTTTTATGATGGAGACAGTGCTCATTCTGCACTGCTGGCTCTTCTGGCCATTTGGAAAGGGTTACCCATAGATAACACAAGGCCACCCATGGCAGGCCTATCCAGGCCAGGCCTCACCTTTGATATCATCTCGGCAGGCACACACCCCTCCTCATCTCCACGTCTCGTGGGAAAGAAAGAGATAATGGGTCCTTTCTTGGCAGGAGCAGGTTTCCAGGTATTGGGAGGCTAAAAGCCTGTCAAATTTATACCGCAGGTTACAGTTGGCAGGAGGGGAAGGTGAGTGCTGGGGGTCACCTTTGTTTGTTCAGACATTTATTCTAAGGCTTCAAGCTGTCCTCTTGTTTTCTCCCTGGCTGGAGGTCTGCGCAAATGCTCCTATGTGCCTGATCTGGGGAGTAGACTTTCTAACTGGAATTTCCCCTGTGGGGAAAGCCAGGATGCCATTGATGCCTCTTGGCCAGGCTTCCAGGCACTCTCTTTGCAGAACTCTATTGAGGAGATCCCTGAGGAGCTGTTTGATGAGTCCAACTACTCCATCTCATTGAACAAAAGGCAGGTGCATCATGCCAACAACCATGGCCCGTGCTAGTCTGGAGTCAAGGTGGGCACAGAGAGGTCTCCAAATGGAAAAGACCAGGGAAGCCCAGGACCCTGACCCAAATGTGAGGATTCCCCAGAAACCGTTTTAGGGCTTTCTCCATTAAGGACCCACAGTTCCTTCCCAGAGGAATTTGGCCTCCATTAGTCCATAATGGCAACTTAGGTGCACAGTCCCTGGTCATATGCTTGCAGGAATGTCAAAAGAAACACTTTTGTGTTGTTATTACTTTACATTAAGTTGTGAGTATCTTTGCATTTTGCTATTATTTTTATTGTTATATCTACCTACCCCACATACTTCCTGGAGCAGGCAGCTTCGCTGCCTTGCCAGACCTTCTCTAAGTCTTAGAAGTTCACACTGTTACTAGAGAGAGGTTTCACCCAAAAAGTGGGAGTTATGCAAAAGGGTCTTATATGACTCTTTACATATGTGTCCCAGAGCCCACCTCTATAGCCCCATCAGGACAGGAGCTGTGTCCTCATATGTCTTTATAAGATTCCATAAGTGGGGCCTTTCCCTCAGTAATTTAGGCTTTTAATACTGGTGGAGCCTGACATAATAAATTCTATTTCCACTTCAGCCATGCTACAGGGAATATCTTTTTTTTTTTTTTTTTTTTTTTGAGACGGAGTCTCGCTCTGTCGCCCAGGTGGGAGTGCAGTGGTGCAGTCTCGGCTCACTGCACTCTGCCTCCTGGGTTCACGCCATCTTCCTGCTTCAGCCTCCTGAGTAGCTGGGACTACAGGCGCCTGTCACCACGCCCGGCTAATTTTTTTTCTCTGTGTGTGTGTGGTTTTTTTTTTAGTAGAGACAGAGTTTCACCGTGTTAGCTAGGATGGTCTCGATCTCCTGACCTCGTGATCCACTCGCCTCGGCCTCCCAAAGTGCTAGGATTACAGGTGTAAGCCACCGCGCCCAGCCGCTACAGGGAACATCTTATCTGTGTCCTAATAGGCTGTAACGCTTTGCTATGACTTCCCTAATACAGTACCACAGGCTGAAGTTCTTTAACAACAAAAACTGAATGTCGCACAATTCTGGAAGTTAGAAATCCAACCTCAAGCTACTGGCTGTGTGGTTTCTCTGAGGTCTCCATCCTTGGCTTGTAGATCGTCATCTACTATATCTGTGTTCACAAGATCTTCTCTTGTGCTTTTCTGTCCTTCCTGCCTCTTCTAATAAGGGCTCCAGTCATCTGGAATTAGGATACACCCCAATTAATTCACTTAAACCTAACTACATTTGCAGAGGCTATATGTTCAAATATAGTCATGTTCTGAGGCACTAGGTGTTAGGACATGAACATATAATTTTTAGGAAGGGAATGCAATCTAGCTCACAACATTTACTAATCCCTTGTAGATTATAGTCTCCCAGGAAAATGATTACTCAGTGAAACAGTAGGAAAGTGTAAAGGTTTAATAGGAGAAGCCGGAATATATTCCAAAAGGGTTGTGAAAGCCGTACTGTAAATAGTAGTTTCTGAATTTATCTGCTTTTATGTATCCAGAACCTCTTGGTTGTCAACATTCTTTTAATTTTTTTGTCAATCTGCTATCTATGTGGCAAAAAAACATGTTTCTATTTCAATTTTTCAACTGATATATTTGAGTTACCTTTCAGTTGATTTATACTTATTTGAGTTTTCTGTTCCCTCAGTTAATCCGCTCAATTCCTTGGCCCTGTGAGGGGTTTCTCTCACCTTGGAGTCCCCAAGCACTGACACCTTTGTCAGGTGTGGGGTTGCTGTAGTTATTTCTCAACACTCCCTTTAAGGTTTTAAAAGACCCAGTTCAGTTGCTTTAAGTCAAAAGGGTTGTCTTAGGGTATCTTATCCTGTGCCCTGTCTCTAAAACAGAAAGAAAGTGAGCCTTCCCCATGCCCTTCCCCCTAAGTCAGGGACAGACATAGAGCCTCAGGTAGCTTAAAGGGAATTTCATGCAACCCCCACCGTGGAAGATTCTCTTTCTTACTTGTGTTTTTCTGAGCAGCCATTTGACATCACAAAGCTTTATTTTCTCATTTGTAGGCTGAGTATGTTTTTTTGGGAATTCTCTGGGATAATGCTCTTCATAAAGATTATTAATACAAGTGGGTGCTGTTGTCTTACAGCTGATATGATATCGTGAAGGCCTTGACTGTATTCATGGATTAATTATTCTCTACCTCCACATTAAATTTGATATCAGAGGCCTAAAACCTTTTTCACCATAAACACCCATGTCCTCCACATGCCCAAGTCTCTGAAGGATGGAGATTTCCTCATCCAAGCTCCACATTCCAAGCCTCTGGTGTTTCATGGTCTTGCCATGAAAAGTCTTGTCCCCTCCCCAAGAGGAAATGAGTCTATTCTTAACCTAGAGGTGTGAATGATGCCAATGCGCCAAACCAGGCACAACGGAGAAGCTGACGAAGTCCCTGACAGCAGCCTTCCAGGGTCAAACTCTCTTCTTTTTATCATTTTTCTCAAGTTTTACCAGGACTTCCTCACCACTCTGTAGTTCCTGGACCAGCTGTCTAGTAGTTGAGCATATGTCTTCTCCAAGGCACAGTGGTGACTCTGCCAGCTACTAACTGTGTCTTAGCATACCAGTGCATCTTTATCAGCCTCAATTTGCATCTTTATAGAGAATTGTAAAATGAACCTCTGTTCTGTACGAGAGACATGCAAGGGGAGAAGAAAACACACCCAAAAAAACCTTTAAGGGTAAACAAGCTTTATCTGACGTAAATGGCAGTGCAGCTATAATAAGCAAATTGCAATGGGAAGGGGAGAAGGGAAACATATATACATATTTACGCCCACCAGACTGCGGAGGATTCATTACCAGACCGGGAAGCAACAGCCTCGACTCCAGAGTAGGTCACCCATCCCTGCACAGACAAGAAGAGGTCTTAGGAAGTTTCAGCGTGGCCTAGAGCCCTAGTTCTTTTTGTAATGAGTTGTTTGGCATGAGGCCCAGTCACGAGGGCTCTTCACAACTGGGCTCAAGGAACTTGAAAAGGTTATCTTGTTTTTGCAATTGTCTGTGGTTTTTCAATAACTAACACATAGGAATAGATTGAAATAGATATTTCTCCAAAACAGTGCCAGATGAATGCTTCAAGCGGCTCATGCAACCTGTCTGAGACTTAATGACCATTGCTTTTGTCCATGTTCAATTGAATTCAAATTTAATATTTAACTTTCCCCCACAACCTTATATGTTTTTTGTGAGAAATGAATGGCATACAATATGAAAAGTGGTTTCCTAATGCTCGGCTTTGTGGAAAGCCTGCTGGGGCATGCTCTGATTGTTCGTATTTATTACTTTTTTCTCTTCTTTCACCCCAGAAGGTCTTTCATGTCACAGTGACTCATGTCCCTCTATAATTAGACAATCATATAGAAAACAAACATGTTCTTACATTTGTAAAGGGCACTTGAGCTTCCTGTTAGCTGGACTTTGTCCTTGAAACAGAGAGATCCTGTAGGAAAGAGTCCCCAGGCACACTCAGACATAGCTAAAAAGGTTGTAGTTAGGGCTTATTTATTCATCACATATATATAACGCAGTTTTCCAGACACTTGGCCTAATTCAGTGAAGACAACAGATGACAGTTCCTGGGCCACAATTTACTTCAGGGAGTCAGACACTCAGAGTGGACATTATAAGCAGGTCATGATCACAGAATGTGAGAACTGATGTTCTCATGCTCTCCTCTAGGAATGGATGCACCTGTCAGCTTCTGATCAGAACGACAGACCCAGGATCAAGCATAACATTTAAATAGACGAATAAAACTTTTTTCCAAAAAGGAACATCGCTTTATGATAAAAACTCTCAACAAATTAGGTGTAAAGTAAATTCACTTCAAAGCATTAAAGGCCATGTATTACAAATGAATAGCTGGGCGGGCAGATCTGCCATAAGGCAAGGGCATCCGCTTCCCTAGATACATATCCAGGGGCACAGAGAATGAGCAGTTCCAGGGTTGTGTCTCACATGGGGTCCTCTCCAGGTCGGTTTCAAGAGGACAGGACTGGGGTTCTGTATCCACTTCTGTGGAGAGCTGGAAGTAAAATGAGCTATGCTCCACCTCAGCCTAATGTAGACAATGGCTACAGAGAAGACTGTTTTCTTCCTCATAAATAGGGGTGCTCGAAGTGGGTAACCTTGATTGTTTCACATACTCATAAGTGTCTGCCAGCCTTGATTCTTCATTGGTGAACTAAGACTCTTTGCTCTGAAACTCTGCAGAAATGCTTCTACTCCCTGGAGGCCCTTCAAATCAGAGAGAGGCATGGCCACTCCAGAGGCATTTTGGGTAGATAAAGATGGGATAGAGCTAAACGTGTCAGAACACTGGACCCTGAGTCTGAAGTCATGGGAAAATGCCAGTTCCTGTTGGGTTTTTGAGCTCCTCATTTGAAAGTCGTATTAAATAATTTCCCTGGATAAGGGGAGGGTGCCTCATGAGTAAATGGCACACTCCAAATGGTGGAGGCAAAGAGAGGGCAATGGAGGATTCCAAGGTCACTCAGTGTACTTGGAGCCTTCAGATTCTGCTCCTTTGTCCTCTGGAACTCCAAAGAGTCAGTGTCTTGAGGACACAAAACAATGGTACCTGATTTGTTCCATAATGTTCCTGCATGGGGCTGCAGTGTTAGTGATGGCCTGGAGGTGGTTACAGCCTGCTGTGTTTCTGGTGCCTATTGAGCTTTGCTGGAGCAGCTGGAGCAAGTAAGAGTCACACACCTCATGTTATTATCAACAATTTCCACATTGCCCACTTAGCCAATCTTTTTTCCCTTGCACTCACCCTTTGCCAGCTACCCTGGTGGGTCCAACATGTGGCACAGAAAATGATTACATCATGCCTGCATACCCCTCCAAGGACAGAACAGTCTGAAGTCAGCTCGACAAAAGCACTAAAGCAAGTATATATAAAAGAAAAGAGCAAGGACTATTATATAAAGTAGAATGTTGAGAAGAAGAGCTGCAAAGTCATTGAATGGGGGGACCCAAAGTCCTCACTGAGGTGATCTTTAATCCATGATGAGAATGATAACAGGGAGGCATCTCTGCACAAGAATGTGTCAGTGAGAAGCCACCCTTGGTGAAGAGTCTTACAGGTGTGAGTTTGGCAGAGATTAGAAAGGGACCAATTTGGTACAGACAGCCTGAGGAAGAGATAAGCAGAGGCATGGAGAATCCTGGGGCTTGGGAGATGAGGCTAGATATCTGCTCCTTTCTGACAACATTGCCCTAAAACTTAGCACCTTTCAATAGTATATAGTATCTCACAATTTGTGTGGACCAGAATCTGGACACAGTTTAGTTAGCTGCCTCTGCCTTCAGGTCTCTTATGAGATTGGGGCTGTGGTCTCAACTGAATGTGGACCGGAAAAGCATCAACCTTTAAGCTCATGCTTGTGAAAATTGGCAGGGTTCAGGGTAGACTGAGAGCATGACTTTACTTCTGTCTACTGCCTGAGCACTCCCTCCGTTCTTTGTTATGTGCGTCTGTACATAGAGCATCTCATAGCATTGGAGCTTGCTTCCTCTGTTTGAGGAATACAATTGAGAGACAGAATTAGGCAAACAGTTTCACACAAAGAGACATAAAGAAATGGAAAGACTGAGGAAGCAAATAGGAAAAACCCAGTAGGAGGAATAATGACAGCTTTAAAAAAACTTGAGAGTTACAATAATTTGTATTAAAATTGTAACCCCCAGTGTAATGCTATAAGGAGATAGGTTGTAATTAACTCCTGAGGTTGAGGCCATCATGATTGAGATTACTGGCTTTACACAGGAAACCCCAGAGGGATGTCTGTCTCCTTCTACCAAATGAGAATAAAATTTGATGTGTGCAGTCTGAAATTCAGAAGAGTCATCACCAGAGCTCAACCATGCTGATACCCTGATCTCAAATTTCCAACCTCTAGGAGTGTGAGAAATTAAATCCTGTTGTCTATAAGCTGTCTAGTTCATGGTTCTTTGGTATAGCAGCCTGAACTAATACAAAAGTCATACACTATTCTGTATTCCATTTGACAGAAGCTGAATTTGTGCCTTCAAACTGTTAAAAAAAAAAGACTTAAAAATTGGATATTCAGAATGAAAGATAAGAAACAGCTTGTTGAAACACTTAAATCTCCTCTGCTTATAAGATTTTAAAAAATTGGCTGAAATATGTTGGAAGCAATATGGCCAACTGAAGTCCATGGAGAATGAGTTTGCTGATGTTAGAGCCCAAATTTCCGTTGCATGTTTCATATTAACACTCCCTGAATATTCATGTGACCTGTGAGGAAACAAGAGGAGATGACTGTGCATGTCTCATGACTTTCCATATTACTACTTTCCTTCCAGCAATCCCCTCCTAATCCAGAGCCCACTTCTTAAGCATTTTTTAATCAACACCTTAAAGCCTATATAAGGAAACTGATTTCAGCTGGACTCCTGTCTCCTGTTGGCCAACCTACAACAAGATGCCATTTTTCTCAAAACCCAAGTGCCATACTACTGGCATCGAGCAGTAGGTCATTTTGTTCAATAACAAACTGAGTCACTAACCACCTAGTGCTGGGAGACTTTGTGAAGGCTTTCCCCAACTTAGGTGAGATAAGGCACATGGATATAATTCTATATATAATAAGAAGTCACTAGAAAGTTTAATAGTTGTATTAGTCCATTTTTATACCGCAATGATGGAATACCTGGGACTGGGTAATTTATAAAGAAAAGAGGTTTAATTGACTCACAGTTCCACAAGATTGGGTGGGGGAGGCTCAGAAACCTTCCAATTATGGTGGCCAACAAGTGAAGTGAGTGAGAGCAGGGGATACACCAGAAGCTTATGAAACCATCAGATCTCTTGAGAACTCACTCACTATCACAAGAACAGCATAAGAAAAACCCGTCCCCATAATCCAATCAACTCCCCTCAGGTTTCTCCCTTAACACCTGGAGGTTATAATACAAAATGAGGTTTGGGTGGGGACACACAGCTAAACCACATCAGTGCCAGAGGATGATATCTACATTTAATTTCAACCTCGTACTGCAGCAGAATGAAACTGAAGCCCAGTGGGGAAGTGACTTTCCCAAGATTACACTGCTGGACCCCAGGCCTACCTGAGTTGTGGCCCATGCTACCTCCCACCTATTCTCCTAATGCTTCCATCTCTAAGTGTGTGCATTATTTACATGTGAAACTACACCACGATTTTTACATTTTATCTTATATACATCTGATACATTCCCTAGGAAGTAGATAACATTATCCCCACTGTGCACGCTAGGAGGCTGGGGAAGCCTCAAATACACAGTGACTTTTATTAGGTCCCAGAGATGGTAAGAAAAACAAGGTTATTTTCCAGCTGTCTCTTATATCCTGGAACCCAGGATGCATTTAGGTCTTTCCAGGGAATTAAGGGGAAGTTGTGTTTGCATAATTGTGTACAAATAAAGAGTTGACATGGAAGAGGAGACTGAGCAATCAATAGCATAGTGGGGCCTTTGGGTAGGTCTTATAGAAATAAGGGGCCCAGTAGATGGAACCTTGAAGAGTTTAACACACTTTCCTGGTGACAGAACCCCACAGCAGTTAAGAAACCAGGAACCCACATTCTTGAGACAGCTCTGTATCCACCTCTGTTGGTGAGAGATGCTCAAGAGAGTGAGATGTCCTTTCATTGTGCCTTGATATTTCTGAGTTCTAGCCTTACAAAGCCTCAATGTAAAAGCCTTCTCTGATAACACAGATATCAACTCAGCCCTCATTCCTGATACCCCTGGCCATTGGCCAAGTGCACCTACAGATAACACAGAGCAGCCCAGGACATGTCCATCGAGGCCAGGCCTCTCTCATCATCTCATCTGGGCAGCCCCACACCACTTCTTTGTACCATGAGTTGCAGGATGGACAAAAGAGAGGGCACACTTCTTGGGCAGAAGCCGATTGTCAGGTGTTGGAACTCTTGTGTGTTTGTTATGTTCATATTCAGGTCAGAGCTGGCAGAATAAAAATAAGAGAGTTGGGGAGTGAGTCTGTATACTCAGATGTGAATAGCAAGACTCCAACCTGATCTCTGGTTTCCTTCCTTGCTGGAGATTTATTTATTTATTTATACTTTAAGTTCTGGGATACATGTGCAGAATGTGCAGACTTGTTACATAGTTTTATATTTGCCATGGTGGTTTGCTGCATCTATCAAACTGTCAGCTAGGTTTTAAGCCCCACATATATTAGATATTTGTCCTAGTGCTCTCCTTCACTTTGCCCCCTGACAAGCCCTGATGTGTGATGTTCCCCTCCCTGTGTCCATGTGTTTTCATTGTTCAAATTTCACTTATGAGTGAGAACATGTGGTGTTTGGTTTTCTGTTCCTGTTAGTTTGCTGAGAATGATGGCTTCCAGCTTCCTCCATATCCCTGCAATCTGAGGTCTCTGTTCTGTTCCCTCTGTCTATATATCTGTTTTGGTACCAATATGACTTCCTCTCTTCCTATTTGCATACCCTTTATTTCTTTCACTTGCCTGATTACCCTGGCCAGAACTTCCAATACTATCTTGAATAGGAGTGCTGAGGGAGGACATCCTTGTCTTGTGCTGGTTTTCAAAGGGAATGCTTCCGGCACTTGCCTATTAAGTATGATATTGGCTAGGGGTTTGTCATAAACAGCTCTGATTATTTCGAGACTTTTTCCGTCAATACGTAGTTTATTTAGAGCTTTTAACATGAAGGGATATTAAATTTAATCTAAGGCCTTTTGTGCATCTATTGAGAAAATCCTGTGGTTTCTGTCATTGGTTCTGTTTATGTGATGGATTACATTTATTAATTTGCATACGTTGAACCAGCCTTGAATCCCAGGGATGAAGCTGACGTGATCATGGTGGATAACATTTTCGATGTGCTGCTGGTTTCAGTTTGCCAGTATTTTATTGAGGATTTTTACATCGATGTTCATGAGGGATATTGGCCTGAAATTTTTGTTGCGGTTGTGTCTTTGCGAGGTTTTGGTATCATTATGATGGTGACCTCATAAAATGAATTAGGGAGGAGTCCCTCCTTTTCAATTGTTTAGAATAGTTTAAGAAGAAATGTTACCAGCTGCTCTTTATGCTTCTGGTAAAATTCGGCTGTGAATCCATCTGGTTCTGAGCGTTTTTTTATTGGTAGGCTATTAATTACTGCCTCAATTTCAGAACTTTTTATTGGTCTATTCAGGGATTCAACTTCTTCCTGGCTTAGTCTTGGGAAAGTGTATGTGTCCAGAAATTTATCCATTTCTTCTATATTTTCTAGTTGATTTGTGTGGAGATGTCTATAGTATTCTCTCATGGTAGTTTTTATTTCTGTGGAATCAGTGGTGATATCCTGTTTATCATTTTTTAATGTGTCTATTTGTTTCTTCTTTCTTTTCTTCTTTATTAATCTAGCTAGTGGTCCGTCTCTTTTGTTAATCTTTTCAAAAAACCAGCTAGTGGAGTCATTGATTTTGAACAGTTTTTCTTGTCTCTATCTCCTTCAGTTCTGCTCTGATCTTAGTTGTTTCTTTCCTTCAGCTAGTTTTTGAATTTGTTTCCTCTTGATTCTCTAGTTGTTTTAATTGTGATGTTAGGGTGTCGATTTCAGATCATTCCAGCTTTCTGTTGTGGGCATTTAGTGCTAGCATATCCCCTCTTAAAACTGCTTTAGCTGTGTCCAAGAGATTCTGGTACATTGTCTCTTTGTTCTCATTTGTTTCAAAAAAAACTTAATTTCTCTCTTAATTTTGTCATTTACTCAGTAGTCGTTCAGGAGCAGGTTGTTCAATTTCCATGTATTTATGTGGTTTTGAGTGAGTTTCTTAATCCTGAGTTCTGATTTGATTGCACTGTGGTCTGAGAGACAGTTTGTTATGGTTGCCATTTTTTCCATTTGTTGAGGAGTGTTTTGCTTCCAATTATGTGGTCAATTTTAGAATATGTGCTATGTGGCATGGAGAAGAATGTATATTCTGTTCTTCTGGCATGGAGAGTTCTGTAGTTGTCTATTAGGTCCGCTTAGTCCAGAGCTGATTTCAAATCCTGAATATCCTTGTTAATTTTCTGTCTCATTGATCTGTCTAATATTGGCAGTGGGGTGTTAAAACTTCCCAGTGTTATTGTGTGGGAGTCTACGTCTCTTTATAGGTCTGTAAGAACTTGTTTTATGAATCTCAGTGCTCCTCTGTTGGGTAGGTATATATATAGGATAGTTAGCTCTTCTTGTTGCATTGATCCCTTTACCTTTATGTAGTGCCCTTCTTTGTCTTTTTTCATCTTGGTTTAAAGTCTGTTTTACAAGAAACTAGGATTGAAACCTTGCTTTTTTTGTTGTTGTTGTTGCTTTTTTTGCTTTCCATTTGCCATTTCTCCTTCCCTTTATTTTAAGCCTATGTGTGTCTTTGCATGTGAGATGTGTCTCCTGAATATAGCACACCAAAGATTCTTGACTGTTTAACCAATTTGCCAGGCTCTGTCTCTTAATTGAGGTATTTAGCCCACTTATATTTATGGTTAATATTGTTATGTGTGAATTTGATCCTGTTATCATGATGCTAGCTGGTTATTTTGCACATTCGTTGATGCAGTTTTTTCATAGTATCGATTGGTCTTTATATTTTGGTGTGGTTTTGCAGTGGTGAACCATATTTTCCTTTCCATATTTAGTGTTTCCTTCAGGAGATTTTGTAAGGCATGCCTGGTGGTGACATAATCCCTCAGCATTTGCTTGTCTGTGAAGGACTTTATTTCCCCTTTGCTTTTGAAGATTAGTTTGGCTGGATATGAAATTCTGAGTTGAAAATTATTTTATTTAAGAATGTTGAATATTGGCCCCCACTCTCTTCTGGCTTCTAGAGTTTCTGCAAAGAGATCTGCTGTTAGTCTGATGGGCCTCCATTTGTAGGTAACCTGACTTCTCTCTCTGTCTGCCCTTAACATTATTTCCTTCATTTCAACCTTGGAGAGTCTGGCGATTATGTGTCTTGGAGTTGCTCTTCTCGAGGAGTATCTTAGTGATGTTCTCTGTATTTCCTGAATTTGAATGTTGGCCTGTCTTGCTAGGTTGAGGAAGTTCTCCTGGATAATATCCTAAAGTTTGTTTTCTAGCTTGGATCCATTCTTCCCGTCACTTTGAGGTATACCAATCAATCGTAGGTTTGGTCTTTTCACATAGTCCCATATAACTTAAAGGCATTGTTTAGCTCCATCAGGCCATTTATGTTTCTCTCTAAGCTGGTTATTCTAGTTAGCAGTTCCCATAACCTTTTATCAAGATACTTAGCTTCTTTGCATTGTGTTAGAACATACTTCTTTAGCTCAGAGGAGTTTATTATTACCCACCTTCTGAAGACTACTTCTGTCAATTCTTCAATCTCATTCTCCATCCAGTTTTGTGTCATTACTGGAGAGGTGTTGTGATCATTTGGAGGAGAAAAGGCATTCTTGTTTCTGGAATTTTTGGCATTTTTGTGCTGTTTTTTCCTCATCTTCATGGATTTATCTACTTTCAATCTTTGGGGCTGATGACATTTGGATGGGGTTTTTTTTGGGTGGGTCCTTTCTGTTGATGTTGATGTTGTTGCTTTCTGCTTGTTAGTTTTTCTTCTAACAGCAAGGTTCTTCTGCAGGTCCAGTGCAGTTTGCTGGAGTTCCAATCCAGACCCTGTTCACCTGGGTGTCACCAGTAAAGGCTGCAGAACAGCAAAGATTGCTGCCTTCTCCTTCTTCTGGAAACTTCATCCCAGGAGGATACCCGCCCAATGCCAACTGGAGCCCTTTTGTATGAGGTGTCTGTCAACCCCTGTTAGGAGGTTTCTCCCAGTCAGGAGTCACGGGGAACCCACTTGAGGAGACAGTCTGTCTCTTAGCAGAGCTGGTGCACTGTGCTGGCAGAATCCCTCTAGTCAAAATCAGCTGCTCTCTTCAGAGCCAGCAGGCAGGAATGATGAAATCCACTGAAGCTGCACCCACAGCCTCCCCTTCCCCCATGTGCTCTGTCCCAGGGAGATAGAGGTTTTCTGTGTAAGCCTCTGACTAGGGCTGTTACCTTTCCTTCAAATATGACCTGCCCAATGAGGAGGACTCTAAAGAAGCAGTCTGCCACAGCCACTTTGCTGCACCCAACCCGGACCTTCCAGCCTCCTTGGCACCGTCAGGGGAAAACTGTCTACTAAAGCCTCAGTAATGGTGGACTCCACTCCCTCCAACTGACCTCAATTGGCCCAGGTCAACTTCAGACTGCTGTGCTGGCAGCGAGAATTTCAGGATGAGGAACGCATTAGCTGTTTGTGATTTTCATGTCTGTTGCAGGGATTTGACCCATTGTTAGTGCTAGATTTGGAGTCTTAAAAAACAGATTTATCTTACTGAACTCAAAGTACAACTTGAAGATGTACTCAGCTGTTTACTTAAATTAAAGCGGGAGAAAATGTATCTTTGCAGATCTATTTTTATGTCACTTGCTTTTAGACACGAGATTGTCTCTGGCACAGTAATTCAACTTAGTCTATGTCAAAAACATAGCCTGAAAATGCTCAAAAAAAATTATGAATAGCGGATTGTATTCTATGTGTTCTCAAATTTCTTCTATGATGTAAAATATATAACATAATGTTTTACCTTGGATTTCTAACCTCAGCCCTCAGCCATTTTCCCAATTTTTTTTTTTTTTGTTTTGAGACGGAGTCTTGCTCTGTCTCTCAGGCTGGAGTGCAGTGGAGCTATCTCGGCTCACTGCAAGCTCCACCTCCCGTGTTCATGCCATTCTCCTGCCTCAGCCTCCCAAGTAGCTGGGACTACAGGCACCTGCCACCACGCCCGACTACTTTTTTGTATTTTTAGTAGAGACAGGGTTTCACCGTATTATCCAGGATGGTCTGGATCTCCTGACCTCATGATTCACCCATCTCAGCCTCCCAAAGTGCTGGGATTACAGGCATGAGCCACCTTGCCATGCCCCACTTTCCCAAACTATTAAAAGACCTTCCAAGGTGGGTCAAAAGCATTTTTCAGAGAAGATTATTCCTAACAGTAAAGGATAATAACAGATGGATAAAAATCTCAAATAAATTATGCCTCTATTTGCAGAAGCGTCACTCTCCAGAGTCTCCAAGATCCAGAGAATTTCCATGAGGTAGAGTAGTTTATGGACATTTAGCAAAGTTGGTCCTGACTGCTGTCTCAGCCTCTTAATAGATGTGCAGCTATAGACAATTTACTGGACTTAGAACAGTTATATAAACCTGGGCTGCAAGAAAACGGATAACACTGATTGCAAGAATGGCAACCACTTCTCATTCCTCTCTGATCTGGGCCCTCTGCAATGTACACTTGAGGCTGCTTCCATGGAGGGAAAGATTTTCTTTTCCCAAATCTTGGATCTGGCTGGCCTTATTTGCTCTGCCTCATTCATACTTTTTGTTCTAATAAAATAATTAAGATGTTTAGCGTCTCATCCCAGCCTTTATCTTGTTAAAACTATATCTTATGATATGTCATCTCTCTTTACTATATTTGGTTATATTCATTCTATTCAATACTCAGGTAATTTTTTATCTCTGTTTAATTTAGTGTTTCACCTATACCTTGTCCTAATTTTTTTATTCTTTACATTCTACCGAGCTGTGATTCAAATATGATATTTGAATATGGAAAATGGTGGCCTAGTTTTTCTTCAGAAATTTCTTTTTATTTACTTGTGTTCTTTAGTTTTTAACTTGGTTCCAATATTTGGGAAATATCACATTTGAGATGTCTGTAGTCATGTTATTTCTGTGCTTATTCCATTTTCCCTTGGAGGAAGGTGGACAGCATACAGACTTGACATCCTTGTGATCTATCAGTATCTGAAGGGACCACTTTTTTTCAGTTTGATTACTTCTCTGGCTTATTCTCTTGATTTACTTTAGCTTTCATCAAGTGCTTCTATATTTTTAAACTGTATTCATTATTTTCATAGTTCTTGTAGCTTCTTGAGAACTTTTACTTGTCTACACTAAAATATTTAAAAATATGTAGCCTTTTCTTCTGAAAGCACAAATATGCAGTGTACACATGAGTAGAATATTTCATAGGCATTGGGCAGCATACAACCACATCTTATGAGATATTCCGTTTCTTCATTCAAAACATCTCTCTCAAATATGTAGTAATAGTCACTTGTAAGGGGTAGTTCTTTTGATACTTAAAATTTTCTTTTATGTGCCTTTATGAAAATATATACTTAACTACAGAGAACAGAACTCTGTGCTTCCTTTTAGTATGTCCTTGACCTCACAAAAATAATTCATGAAATCTTATATTTATTTTATAAATTAATTTAATGAAACAAAATTTGTGCATGGCTAAATATTACTTGTTGAGTACAATTTAGAATTTCTACTGTCATTTTAGTGTCCTAAAAGATATGAGCTGTTGAATTTCTGCTCTCATAAAATGAATGATATTGTTAGGCCTAAACCCTTGCCATTTATTTTCCCCCTCTGTCATACAGTGTGTATCTTTGGTTCACTGCTGAAAAATTTTATTAATTTTTCTCTCTTGCTAGTAGTCATACTTTCTAATAAAGTTATCATTACTTGTGTTTATTTAGTTACTGTATGTTAAACATTTGATTTCTGATGGTCTTAATGTCATTTAATATAATTGTAAATATTTCAATTTGTCATTATTAACAAATTTCTGTATTATATGTTTTAGACTCAGCTATTAAGTATATGTGGGTAAATGACTTAGAATAATTTCTAAAACATTGTAGGGGCTACTAAGTACTAATAACCCTGATTCATTAAATTTTTATTCCTTATAATATTCTTTATTGACTAAATTATTTTGTAATCTTATTTAAATTTATTCTTTTCTTTTCTAAATATTTGTGAAAAAGGGGTTAGGCTAATGTGTCATTTTGATAAAACTTCATGTCAAATGATATGTTTCACTGGTTTCTTTTAGATGTAATAGCTTTTTTGACTCAGGCAATACATGCAAGTATGAAGTATAAAAATTATAGTCTCAATCCTTAAGCTGAGTAAAAACTTGGCTATTTATTGATTTTAACAAAGCTACATTATCCCACATAATACGTAAAACTTTCACAAAGCTACATTATCCCACATAACAGGCATACCAGCTGCCTATATCTGGAAACATGGATTGTTACAAATTAGAAGTAAATAACTTGATAGGCCCAATTTAACAAATGAAGCTCAAGAAGTGGGAGATATGAGACCTATAATGAAAGATTAAATTATTTTAAAAATCTTACCACAAAGAAAAATCAGAGTCAAATACTTTAACTGTTAAATTATACAAAATATTTCATAAAAATACCAATCCTTTACAAATACACACCATACATAGATAAGAGATAAACAACCCCTAACTACTTTATGAGGCCAATATTACTATACCAAAGCCAGACAAACCCATCATGTGTTAGGATTAATATGGGTACATACGGCTGATAAATAAAGACACATAATTCTCAAAAAGTACTAATAAGTTAAATACAGAAACACGTAAAAGTAATTATACACCATGGCCAAGTACAATCTTTTTACAAATGAAGTGGCTTAATATCTAAAAACCAATAATTTAATACACAACATTGATAAAGTGAAGAACATAAAATGATCCTTTTAATAGACACAGAAAAGCTTGTGATACAAACAACACTGATTCATTATAAAATCCTTAACATACTAGGAAGGAAAAACTTACTGGAACTACTAAAAAGGATTCATAAAAATTTCCCACTAATATTACACTTGCTGATGAAAGACTAGGCTCTTTGCCTCACAGTTGTGGGAAACAGATAAGCATGGCTACTTTCGCTACTCTACTAAATTGAACTAAAGGTGTTAGGCAGAGAAATTATATAATAAAAACAAATAAAACTTCTAAATTTATAAAATAAACTTTTATTGTAAATGGCATCAACTTATATTCAAGAATTTTTAAAGAGTTTACAAAAATCAACTGGAACTAATAAATGAGTTCAGCAGGTCACAAGATACAAGATAAATGCACAATATTAAATTGCACTTTTATACAGTAACTAAGGGCAATCAGTAAATAAAATTAGAAAAAATAATTCTACTCATTAGCTCAATGTGTAGTGGCTTAAAATTCCAAATATGCATTATGTCTTATTTTCTGTTGGCTACAAATACTGACACAGCTTAGTTGAATGGGTCTACCACAATGTCCTCATGTGTCCGGAATTGGTCGGTTCTTGGTCTCACTGACTTCAAGAATGAAGCCGCGGACCCTCACGGTGAGTGTTACAGTTCTTAAAGGCAGCGTGCCTGGAGTTTTTCCCTTCTAATGTCAGCATGTGTTTGGAGTTTCTTTCTTCTGGTGGGTTCGTGGTCTTTCTGGCTCAGGAGTGAAGCTGCAGACCTTTGTGGTGAGTGTTACAGCTCATAAAGGCAGTGTGGACGCAAAGAGTGAGCAGCAGCAGGATTTATTGCAAAGAGCGAAAGAACAAAGCTTCCACAGTGTGGATGGGGACCCGAGAGGGTTGCCACTGCTGGCTCGGGCAGCTGCTTTTATTCTCTTATCTGGCCCCACCCACATCCTGCTGATTGGTCCATTTTACAGGGAGCCAATTGGTCTGTTTTACAGAGAGCTGATTGGTCCCTTTTCACAGGGTGCTGATTGATGCATTTACAATCCTTGAGCTAGACACAAAGTTCACCACGTCTCTACTAGATTAGCTAGATACAGAGTGTTGATTGGTGTATTTACAAACCCTGAGCTAGACACGGGGTGCTCATTTGTGTGTTTATAAACCTTGAGCTAGATACAAAGTGTCGATTGGTGTATTTACAATCCCTTATCTAGACATAAAGTTTCTCCAAGTCCCCACCAGACTCAGGAGCCCAGCTGGCTTCACCCAGTGGATCCCGCACCAGGGCCGCAGGTGGAGCTGCCTGCCTGCCAGTCACACGCTGTGCTCCCGAACTCCTCAGCCCTTGGGTTGTCGATGGGACTGGGTGCCATGGAACAGGGGGTGGAGCTCGTTGGGGAGGCTCGGGCCGCACAGGAGCCCTTGGCAGGAGTGGGGGAGAGGCTCAGGCAAGGTGGGCTGCAGTTCCCGAGCCCTGCCCCGTGGGGAGGCAGCTAAGGCCTGGCGAGAAGTCGAGCACAGCAGCTGCTGGCCCAGGTGCTAAGCCCCTCACTGCCTGGGGCTGGCGGGGCCAGCTGGCCGCTCCAAGTGCGGGGCCGCCAAGCCCACGCCCACCCGGAACTCGCGCTGGCCCGGAAGCACCGCGGGCAGCCGCGGTTCCTGCCCGCTCCCCGCAAGATAAGGGAGCCGGCTCCGGCATTGGCCTGCTGAGAAAGGGGCTCCCACAGTGCAGCGGTGAGCTGAAGGGCTCCTCAAGCGCGGCCAGAGTGGGCACCAAGGCTGAGGAGGCACCAAGAGTGAGCGAGGGCTGTGAGGGCTGCCAGCATGCTGTCACCTCTCACTCATGAGACTGAAGCTGTGTCTCAACTGAAGCTTGACTGGGAAGGATGCACTTCTGAGCTCAATCTGGTTAGTTGTGCATTATTGTTTTGACTCAGTTCTTAGTTTCTTTCTGT
Source organism: Homo sapiens (assembly GCF_000001405.40). Lineage (NCBI taxonomy): Eukaryota > Metazoa > Chordata > Mammalia > Primates > Hominidae > Homo > Homo sapiens. Next base: position 7,590,341 of record NC_000021.9, on the reverse strand, counting down.
CTTTGGTCAGGGCACTCTCTCTATTCTCTGTCACACAAGCCTGTAAAAATGAAAGCTTAAAACACTGAAGCTCGCTTCTCCAGAGCAAAGTATGCGACAGACAGAGAGAAAGACAGGAAAAAAGGAAGTAAACAATATCACAAGAGAGAGAAAGTAAGAAGCAAGTGACAATCTTTTCATAATCAAATATTGGCAGTGACATTCCCTATTTTCCAATGTATTCTACTGCCATGAAGTGAGTCACTAACCACTTACTGTTTACATTTGGGTGTGTATAGTTGGAAATAAAAATTATTATGAGCCATCATGAAGGCTGTGCACTACGTATGCCAAGGTGAGACAAATGGGCCTGATTCTAAATATAACGAGAAGGTACTACAATGTGTGTTGTTGTTATTGTTGTTGTTCTGGCCAAAGAATAACAACATCTAAATTTTATTCAATTTCAATGTTTTCATGGTGGAGTTTGAAAAATAAATTCAAGAGGGGACATGACTTTCTCAAGATTCAAGTTATAAAACCCAGGCATGTTTGAGAGATATTCAAGCAATGTCCCATCCCTTGTAGTTTCTTTCTCTAAGTTTATGCAGTAGCTGTGTTTAATATCAAACCCAACAGTCATGCGTATCATTTTATACATATCTCATGAGATCCCTTGCAGCTGGATGCCACCATAATCCCCACTGTGCAGGCTGTGAGACTATGGAGCCCCTGAGAGGCACAATGACATACTTGGCATCACATAATTAATACATTAAACATAAAGACTTTAACTCAGCTTGTATCCTCAAACTTGTGGCTCTGGCTGCATTCCATTTCCTCCGGCACTGGTGCAGGAGGTGCTGTATTTGCATAATTGTGCACAAGTAATCAGATGACTTGGGAGAGAATGGTGAGCAGTCAGCAGTGCAGAAAAGCCTTTGAGTAGGTCTTATTGAAGGAAGATAGGTCTTATTGAAAGAAGAATAATACCTTCAAGAAGTGACCTCATTTCTTTGGTGAAAGGTCCTAACAGTACTAAGTATTCTGGTAACCAAAAACTCACATTCTAAAGACAGTCCACCATGCAGCACTGTTGGCCAGAATCTCTCAAGAGAGAAAGATGTTCTGCTGTATAACAACTTTCTGAGGCTCTTTCTTGTGAGGTTCTGTTCCTCACAAGTAGCACCTTCTAGCTATGTCTTCACACGACAGAAGGGGCATGAATATTCCTTTCAACCTCCGTCACACGGGCACTATTATTTTCTCGTTAACATGCAGCCCTCCTGACTTAATAACTTTCTCAAAGTTCCAATAACTAATAGTATCACACTGAATCCACGTGTGGATTAAGTTTTTAAATATGAATGTGGAGAGTGAGGAACACAAATATCCAGACCATAGCAAAAAGTTAATAAGCAATAACAATTGCAGTGGACAGTATTATTAATGCTTGGGATATGGGAATTTGATGTTTCTATCACAAAGGTTAAACAATGGTTTATCCTTGGCCGGGCATGATGGCTCAAGCCTGTAATCCAAGCACTTTGGGATGTCAAGGCAGGCGGATCACAAGGTCAGGAGATCGAGACCATCCTGGCTAATACGGTGAAACCCCGTCTCTACTAAAAGTCCAAAAACATTGCTGGGTGTGGTGGCGGGCGCCTGTAGTCCCCGCTACTAGGGAAGCTGAGGCAGGAAAAAGGTGTGAACCCAGGAGGTGGAGCTTTCAGTGAGCTGAGATCACACCAGTGCACTACAGCCTCGGAGACACAGCAAGACTCCATCAAAAAAATAAAATTAAATTAAAACATATAACAAAATTAAGGTCCAATTAAAGGTAAATATATATAGCAAAAAAAAAATTCAAGCTCTGATAAGGTTAATTGTAACAGATTGTGCCAGAATTTTGAGATTTCTGGAGATGGACAGAGCCCAAGAGTTTCCTTCTATAACAATTTCTGTGAAGTTTCTTACACTCTTATTCAATTTGAACGTGGATAAATGGGTTTTCTCTGTTTTGTTATTTAAGAGATTCATGATAAGGAAGGCCTATTTATGCATGATTCTTAAACAATTATTGAGTCAGTGGTGTCTGCTGAGGAAGGGCACAGAATCTCATGCCCACAGAAGCATGATGTTCTGTCAGATAGGAGACTTCTCCCAGAGCCAGAACTTCATCTTTCAAATGGAATTAGAGATTTTCACAGGCATACATTGCTCTGAAGCCCTATCAGAGGCTTAGCACTGAGAATATGACCAAAGAAGGTGACTAATAAACATATGACCTAGTACTCTGATCTACAGTGATTCTACCCTCTCAAATAGCTCTTCCCTGGCTCTGGAATCTTTTCTGGATTCATCTACCAGAAACAGATACACTGAAAGATTGAGAAGAAGCTTTTATTCTCACTGTGAGTCTTGCCCTGTCTCACCATCTTCTCTAGAAGTGCAATGTTCTAACTATTCCTGAGAGACTTCATCTCAGGTAGCTCTCTCTGACAACATAATTGAGAAGAGAAACGAGCAAGACTCAGATTATTTTGAAGGCTTGTCTAGGGTTCTTACATGATTTATGTCTCCAATTTATGTCAATATTGACAAATATAGATTCATCTCTAGATGGTAGAAAAACAGAAGGAGGAGCCTCTGCTCACAGAGAAAATAAAAGATGAATTCAATGTTTTGTAGAGCCAGCTTATTTTAAACCATGGGGCATTTAATCTTTTTAGAAAAAAACAAAAGCAATAGGGTTTTTTGTTTTTGTTTTTGCTTTTGCTTTTGTGTTTTCGTTTTGGTTTTTTTTTGTTTGTTTGTTTTTTCCCTGAAGCAACTCAACTGTGGCCTCAGACAACTGGGCACTGAGAACGCATGCTCCTCACTAGAATTTCATTACTACATTGCAGAGAAATGGGATAATTACAAAGGATTTTTTTTTTTTTGAGATGGAGTCTTCCTCTGTCATCCAAGATGGAGTGCAGTGGCATCATCTCAGCTCACAGCAACCTTGGTCTCTCAGGTTGAAGCAATTCTCCTGCCTCAGCCTCCCAAATAGCTGGGACTACAGGCATGTGCCACCTTGCCTGGGTAATTTTTATATTTTTAGTACAGACTGGGTTCCACCATGTTGGCCAGATGGTCTCGATTTCCTGACCTCGTTATCCACCCTCCTTGGTCACCTAAAGTGCTGGGTGTGAGCTGCTGTGCCCAGCCCAAAGGATTCTTAAGGGTGATATGGGGGATGGAATGGAAAAAATAAACTTAGTCTTTGCACTTCCACCTGGTCTAACTAACCCTACTCTCATCCTATCCCAAAATTATTGCCAGACTTTTCTGGAGTGTGCCAGGGGCAATTCAGAAGGAAAAGAGGTTATTCATGCCTATCCATTTCCCATAGCTCCTGAGATCTAAGTCGTTCACTCCCCTGGTTTCAGGTTGTTGCTCCCCTTCTATATCCTCAGAATTAATGTGATCCATTCCAATACTTATAATTGTACCTTTATCTGATCCCCTCCTATTTTGCTGTAGACATTTTATGTAGTAGATCCAGTTGTAATAGAGACAAGAATGTTTATATACACCATAATCAGAACTAAATTGGAGTTCCATAACCCCTTTTTTGACTGGGCTGCTACTCAGAAATCATACAAACCAGGCTGCCTGGAGGTTGCAGTTAGGAGAAATCACATCTTGCCCAGGAATGTCAGTGTGGAAACTCAGATTTGGAAAATAGATTCCTATAGCCCCAATCATTTTGCAACACTTCTGCAGAGTTAAAAGAAAGCCAGTATCTAACAGAAAATCTTGAGCTTGCAGAATAACAGAAAAGAAAAAAAAAACAAAAACACAACTTGCCAAAACACTGAAACTCCCTCTACTTATGAAATAAACAAACTGGCTTAAATTGGTGGAATCATTATGGCCAAATGGTGTTTTGGCAGAATCACCTTGCTGAGGTCACCGTCTGAATTTTCACTGCCTGTTTCATCACAACTCCCCTTCAGTTTGCCCATGACATCCATGAGGAGGCAATGAGCTTGAGAGTAACGTTTCAGTATAAAATTGCTTTCTCTTAAAAACCTGATGTCATAGTATTGGCTTCTAGCACTTCAAGAAGTGAGCTCCTTTTACTCAATAACAATGTTATCTATATCTTAGAGACAGTCAACAGGAGATAATCTCTTCTGGGACCAAAGAAGGTGACTAATAAACCATTTAATCAACACATTACCTAACCAAAAGCTGTGGACCCTGATGAGGAAAATAAGTTAAAATGAGACTATTGGCTCATTTTAATAGATATGGTGATAAAAGCAAAAAAAAAAAAAAAAAAAGAGAGAATTTAAGCGGTCTCAAATACCTAAAAGATGACATGGATTAGCTTCAAGTAACACATAATGTGGCTGGAGTCAGCTGATCTTTATGCTGAAAGTGTCAACAGTAGTGACAAATACTTCAAGTAACGGGTCAAAAGTCTAAGACAGTCATTCTGCCAGAAATGGTCTGGGACTTCCCCATACATGGGACACGTAGATCAACTTTCTCCAAGAACCACCAACCTGGCATGCAGTGATGACCTCTGCAGTAGACAGGGATTTAGGCTTGATTGTTGTTCATCTCTTTGGAGACATAACCCTAATTGTGAACTTCTAAATTAATGGCCTGACAATTAGATCAGCAGCTAAGATAAATTTCAGTTTGCAGCCCCAAAGAAGATGTTCTTAATTAGACAGTTAATCATTTTCAATATGGAAGCCTAAACACGTAGAATGTGGCAATAACCCGGAACTCTCAGTTCTGACAATTGAGTGAAGTAATCACCCCAGATTCAGGTTCCTCATTGGCTGACAATGAGATCAAACACCCACACCAGCCCAGTGAACACCATGAGGTGTCATCTTCCCTGGCCCATTAGTGAACCAGGAACAGATATTTAGAAAATATTCAGTAAATTGGGGAGTCCCACAGAGTCAGAAAGTTTGCTTGAGATAGTAGAGGGTGGCATAAAATTTCTACCGAATATGAATTTTAATTTTTACTTTAGTGCCGTTTCTATTTTAGTCTAATTTCCTTCTAGAATATGTTATTTCTATTTACCAAGTGGCCTCCTGTGGTCTTTTTCATAGAGTTCAAATCGACCCATCTAAAAACAGAAAGATCAAGCTAACGACCTCCCTCAGGGGTCAGAATTCAGTTTCACAGCTCTGTAGCAAGCTCATTGTTGACTTACAAATTAGTGTAACCAATAGTAACGTCATGGTGACCATAACTCCAACATCCCAAAAAGTACCTCAAGTTAGAGGCTGACTTCATTTATCAGAGGATTCAAATGGCAAAATCAAGCTTTACTAGATCACTGGATTACTGGAAGAAGTGAGCAATGCGAATCTGCAATATAGTTTCACTAAACTTTAATAGGACAGCAAGACTGTAGATATTTTAGCCCTCTCAAAATATGAATCTTCTGATCCTTTCATCTAGAATCTCTATGTGTGCCATAAAGTCCTAACTCTGCTTGTGCCTATACTTTCTGTTCATGCAGAGATTAAAAGACAAACAGGTGGGAGCTTAGTGTTTTAGCGTTTTTCCTGAGAATCTGTCTAGCCTAGAGCATCCCCATTTTTTTCTAGATTCCAAGGAGTACTATCACTATCCTAATTCTCAGTGTCTTGTTTCCAAGTATTTCCTCCTACGATTGTCAGCGTGACTACCTTTTTACCCCACTGATAGTGTTTGCTCCAGGTGAACTGGGTAGTTCATTTTTATTTAAATGCTTCCATAAGCGTTAAGCTATTAATTTAAGATTTCTTTGTTTTTTATAAAGTAATTCTGCTGTTTCCCTCAGAGCTCAACTTTCACTAAGTCTCATAAATTTTATTATGTTTTGTCTAAATGTCTATTTATGTTAAAATATTCTCTGACACTATTTGTACATTTTTTATTCATTAATTATTTAAGATTGTGTCATTTAATGCACACATGTTTGCATTTCCCAAATTTCTTGCTTTTTTGGTCTCTAATTTTCTCTTTTGTGATTAGAAAACATTCATTTTATTATTTCAATCTTTCAATTTTATTGATTTTTTTTATGATGCAGCATATTCTCCATTCTAGAGAATGTTCTATGTGCATTTGGGAAGAATATACATTCTGATTTGGGGTGAAGAGTTCTCCATATATCTCTAGTTTTATTTGGTTTATGTTATTCATGTCTTCTATTTCCTTGTTTCTCTTATGTCTAGTTCTTCTACCCAATAGTGTAAGTGGGGAAGTGAAGCTTGCAATTTTTATTGTTGAAACTATTGTTGCAACTATTTCTGCCTTTATTTCTATCAGTTTTGCTTTATGTACTTCTGTGAACTTTTGTTACATTCATATATGTTAATTTATTTTCCTCATGAATTTATCCTTCTAATTATAATCTATCTTCATCTCTAGTAATAGTATTTGTTGTCTTAAAGTATATCCTAATTTTTTTATTTTTGGTTTTTCTGGGTGCATAGTAGGTGTATACCTTTATGAAGTATATAGAATATTTTGATACCGTCATACAATGTGTAATAATTACATCAGAGTCAATGGGGTATTCATCACATGAAGTATTACTATTGGATTTCAAATAACCAAATTATACAATTTCTGTTATTTTAAAATGTACACTTAAATTATTCTTAACTAGAGTCACCTTGTGCTGTCAAATGCTAGAACTGATTCATTCTTTCTAACTATATTTTTATACCCATTAACCATTCCCACCTCCCCGCCCTCAACCTTCTACTACTTCTCTCAGCCTCTGGAGACCATCATTCTACTCTTTATCTCCATTAATTCTTTGGTTTTAATTTTTAGCTTTAACAAATAAGTGAGAACGTGTGAAGTTTGTCTTTCTATACCTGGCTTATTTCACTTAATAAAATGACCTTCAGTTTAACCCATGTTTTTACAAATGACAGAATCTCATTCATTTTTATGTCTGAATAGTACTACATTGTGTATATGTACCACTTTTTTGTTTATTCATCTGTCGATAAACACCTATGTTACTTCCAAATCTTGGCTATTGTGAATAGTGTTGCAGTAAACACAGGAGTACAGCTATCACTTCAATACACAGATTTTTCTCTCTTTTGGATATATACCTAACAGTGAAATTGCTGGATTGTACAGAAGCTCTATTTTTAGTTTTCTGATGAACCTTCAAGCTGTTCTCCATAGTGGTTCCACCAACTTACATTCCCACCAACAGCATATGAGGGTTCCCTTTTCTCCGCATGCTTGTCAGCATTTGTTATTGCCTTTTAGCTAAAACCCACTTTAACTGGGGTGAGGTAATAGCTCATTGTAATTTTGATTTGCATTTCTCTGATGATTCATGATGTTGATCATCTTTTCATATACCTATTTGCCATTTGCGTGTCTTTATTGGAGTAATGTCTGTTTACATATTTTGCCTATTTTTTAAAATAGGATTATTAGATTTTATTTTCTATAGAGTTATTTGAGCGCCTTCTATGTTTTGGTTACAAATCCATTTTCAGATAGGTAGTTTGAAAATATTTTCTTTCATTCTGTGGGTTGTTTTCTGACTTTGTTGATTCTTTTCTGTGCCATGCAAAATTTTATAACTTGGTGTGATACCAATTTTCCATTTTGCTTTGGTTGCCTGTGCTTGTGAGGTGTTACTCAAGAAATCTTTGCTTAATCCAAGGTTTTTTAGAATTTCCCCAATGTTTTCTTTCAGAAGTTTCATAGTTTGCAGTTTTACATTTAAATATTTAATCCATTTTGATTTAGTTTTTGCACATGGCAAAAGATAGAGGTCTAGTTTTATTCCTCTGCATATGGATATCCAGATTTACCATCACTGTTTATTGAAGAGACTGAGTTTTTATTCTTAATATATTTTCTTGGTGCCTATGTAAAAAATGAGTTCACTGTAGATGGATGGTTTGGTTCTGGGTTCTCTATTCTGCTCCATTTTCCTGTGTGTCTGTTTTTATGCCAGTACTATGCTGTTTTGGTTACTACACATCGGTAGTATAATTTTGTGTAATGTAATAATGTATGCTATGTAATGGGATTCCTCCAGTTTTATTCTTTTTGCTCAGGATAGCTTTAGCTATTCTAGGTCTTTTGTGATTATATATAAATTTAAGATTTTTTAGAGCTGTTGTATTTATTTGTGTGAGGAATGTCAATGGTATTTTTACAGAAATTGCGTTGAATCTGTAGCTTGCTTTGTGTAGCATGGACATTTTAATATTGATTCTTCCAATCCATAAACACAGAACACTGACTAATACAATCTGCAAATGGGTAGTTTGACTTCCTCTCCTCTTATTTGAATGCCTTTATTTTTTTCTCTTGTCTGATTGCTCTGGCCAGGATTTTCAATACTATGTTGAACAGGGCTGGTAAGAGAGGGCATCTTTGTCTTGTGCCAGTTTCCAAGAAAAATGCTTCCAGTTTCACCCATTCAGTATAAAGTTGGCTGTGGGTTTGTCATAGATGACTTTTATTATTTCAAAGCATGTTTCCTCAATACCTAGTATATGGAGAGTTTTAACATAAAGTGGTTTTGAATTTTAATGAAAGCTCTTTCTGCATCTATTACAATAATCATGAGGTTTTTGTCTTTCGTTCTGTTTGTATTATGAATCACATTTATTGATTTGCATATGTTGAACCAACCTTGCATCCCAGGGAAAAAGCCTACTTGATTGTGGTGGATAGGCTTTTTGGTGTGCTGCTGGATTTGGTTTGCCAGTATTTTATGGAGAATTTTTGCATCAATATTCATCAAAGATATGAAATTTTTCTTTCTTTTGCTTTTCTTCCAGGTTTTGATATCAGAAGGGTGCTGGCCTCATAGGATGAGTGAGGAAGATGATCCTCCTCAAATTTTTGGGAGTTTCAGTAGGAATGATACCAAATTCTTCTTTGCATATCCAGTAGAATTTGGCTGGGAATTCGTCTTTTCCTGGGCTTTTTAAAATTGATAGTCTATTTATTACAGATTCAATTTTGGAGCATGTTATTGGTCTGTTCAGGGATTCAATTTCTTCCTGGTTCAGTCTTGGAAAGGTGTACATGTCCAGGAATTTATCTATTTGTTCTAGGTGTTGTAGTTTTTTTGCATAAAGGTGTTCATCATATTCTCCGATGTTTATTTCTATTTCTGAGGAGCCAGTGGTAATATCCCCTTTGTTGTTTCTGATTGTCTTTGTTTGGATCTTCTCTCTTTTCCTCTATATTAGTCTAGCTAGTAGTCCACATTTAAAACAAAACCTACTCCTGGATTCATTAATCTTTTAGTTTCTTTGTGTGTGTCCTAATCTCAGTTTATCTCTGATTTTGGTTATTTCTGTCTTCTTCCAGCTTTGGGGTTGGATAGCTCTTCATTCTCTAGATGTTTTAGTTGTGATATTGAGTGGTTAAATTGAGATCTTTGTTACTTTTTGTGGTGGGTGTTCAGCAACATCAGTTTTTTTCTCAACACTGATTTAGTTGCATCTCAGGGATTCTGGTAGGTTGTGTCTTTGTTCTCATTACTTTCAAATAACTTTTTGATTGATGCCTTAATTTCATTATTCACACAAAAGTCATTCAGGAGTGAGTTATTTAATTTTTATGTAATCATATGGTATTGAGTATTGGTTTTCTCAACTTTTACCTCCAATTTTACTGTACTCTGGTCTCGGAGAGTGGTTGTCATAATTTGAATTCTTTTATAATTTCTGAGAACAGTTTTATGTCGATTAAGTGGTTGATTTTAGAGTATGTGCCATGTGGCAATGAGAACGTATATGTTGTTGTTTTTGGTGGAGAGTTCTGAAAGTGTCTGTTACATCCATTTGATCCAGTGCTGCATTCAGATCTTGAATATCTTGTTAATTTTCTGCCTTAATAATCTAATATTGTCAATGGGTTGTTGAAGTTTTTCACTATAATTGTGTAGGAATCTAAGTCTTTTTAAAGACCTCTAAGAACTTGCTTTATGAATTTGGGTGTTCCTGTGTTGGGTGTGTATATATTTAAAATGTATATATTTAAATATGAATACATATATTCTTGTTGAATTTAACCCTTTAGCATTTTGTAATGCCTTTTTGCCTTTTTAAATCTTTGTTGTTTTAAAGTCTGTTTGTCTAAACTTAGGGTTGCAACCCATTCTTTCTGCTGTTTTCCATTTGCTTGGTAGATTTTTATCCCGTCATTTTCAGCCTATGAAACTGATTGCATGTGAAATGAGTCTTGATGACAGCATATCATTGGTTCTTTGTTCTTTATCCAGTTTCCCACTGTTTGCCTTTTAATTGGAACATTCAGCCCATTTACATTCATAGTTAGTGTTGATATGTGTGCATTTGATGCTGCCATTATAATGGTAGCTGCTTATTATGCAGACTTGTTTGTGCGCAACTGGTCTGTATACCTCAGTGTGTTTTTTTAGTGGCTAATAAAGGTTTTTTTCACCTATATTTAGTTCTTCCTTCAGGAGCTCTTGTAAGGCATGTCTTGTAGTAATGAATTTCCTCAGCATTTGCCTGTTTAAAAAGAACTTTATTTCTCCTTTACTTATGAAGCTTAGTTTGGCCAAATACGAGATTGTTGATTGGAATTTATTTTCTTCAAGGAGGTTAAATATTGGTATTGGTCTCTTCTGGCTTGTAGGATTTCTGCTAAAAGGCGTACTTTTACACTGATAATCTTTCCTTTGTGGTTGACCTCCCTTTCCTCTCTAGCTGCATTTGACATTTTTTCTTTTATTTCATGCTTGAACAATCTGATAACTATGTGTTTTGGTGATTATTATATTATGAAGTATCTTACTGGAGTTTTCTGCATTTCCTAAATTTGAATGCTGGCCTCTCTAGCCAGCATTCCCCAGGTTGGGGAAGTTCTCATGAATGATATCCTAAAATATGTTTTTCAAATGGCTTCCATTCTCCCCACCTGTTTCATGAACACCAGTGGGTCATACCTTTGGTCTCTTTACATAATCTTATATTTTTCAGAGGCTTGGGGGTTTTTATTACTCTTTTTTATTTCTGTCTGTATGTCTTACTTCACATAAACAGTCTTCAAACTCTGAGATTCTTCCTTAGCTTTGTCTATTCTACTATTAATAGTTGTGAATTTCTTATAAAAAAATTTAGTGTGATTTTTTTAGCTCTCTCAGGTTAGTTATGCTCTTAATACTGGCTCTTTTGTCTCTCAGCTCCTGTATCATTTCATTATGATTCTTAACGTTTTTGAATTGAGTTTCAAGTTACTTCTGCATTTTAATGATCTTTATTTCTATTCATATTCTGAATTTGATTTCTGTAATTTTAGCTATCTTGGACTGATTTATAACCTTACTGGAGAGGTACTGTGACCATTTGAAGGAAAAGAGGAACTCAGGTTTTTTGAGTTGTCAGAGGTTTTGTGCTTGTTCTTTCTTATCTTTCTGGGGTGATATTTCTTTAATATTTGAAGTTGTCAACTTTTGGATTTTTCCTTTTATTCTGCTTGATGACCTTAAGGGTTTAATTGTGTTATAAGGTTGGCTCAGTCAAGTGGTTTTGTGTGTATTCATGCAGGCGAAGGTGGCTGCTCAGGGCTGAGGAGAGTATGCTGTTTTTTGTGCTTAGTTGTACTCAAATGACAGTGTTGACAAAGGAGCAGGGTGCTGGTGTTGTGGGGCAGATGGCCTCTGTTTCCCCCAAGATTCTGTCTGCAGTGGTGGTATAGCAGGAGAGGGGGCCTGGAGTACACTCCTACCAACAGCAGTGCCAGGGCAGAATGCATATGCACATGTGCACTGACAGGACAGGGAAAGCAAGATCCTTCCATGCACACACACACACACACACACACACACCAGCATAGTGATGTGTGGGGTGGCAATGGGCCTTGGGGGGAAGCTGCAGTGAGGAGAGGCAGCAGGCAGGCTGATGCCTGGATGGGGTCACCCCACTGGAGCTGTCTACTAGTCAGACATGATCTGCCAGTTCAGGATCTATGATGCAGGCCCCCAGGGTACTCAAGGCTGCACTGCAAGCATGCAGGGCCGAATTGGGGTCGCAGGAGAGGCCAGCACACCAACGCAAGCTCAGGTCAAAACAGCCCCATCTGATGGGCCACCACCCTGCAGACTTTTTGTCCAAAATTTCCCCTAGGGCTAACGTCTCTTATGGGAGCAAGTTAAGCTTATTGGTGTGGGCATCCCTGGACATGCTTCACTACACATGTTCCCACAATAAACCCTCTTGGCTGTGCACTGGCTGGTGTGCTGCCCCTGTCACTTCTCTAAGCAGCTCTTCCTTTCAACTCATTTTCCATGATGGTCAGAGGGTCTCTGCCAGTGGGATTCCAGAGGCCAGTCAGGAAAGCAGGTAGCTCCTTGCCACTTAAACTCACCTGTTTTTCTCAGAGTCACTGGGGGCCAGAAATCAGTTCCACTGTGCTTTAGCCCTGTGCAGGGTTCCCAGCTTCTGAATCTTAAGTTCAGATGTTGTGTCTTTCCTCCATCACTATCAGTACCTGCCCTCGGTTAAGAGTGTGCCAGTCATCCTGGTCCCTTGGTGTCAGCTGTTCCACCTTGGTTTGTCTATTCAGCCATCTTGCTCAAATACACAAAGTCTTATAAATCAATAATAAATAGACAATTGACTACTTGAAAAATGTGCAAGGAATTTGAATTAAAAATTTCTACAGATAAGAAGCAAAATTTGTCATTAAATTTAAAATATGTGACATTATTAGTTTAGAGAAATGCAAATCAAAAGCTCAATGACATACTTACTAGAAGACCTGTAAAAGGCAATAAAAAAGGTTGCCAAAGATATCAAAAATATGAAAGCCTCACACATTGTATGTGGGAGTGTAAAAAACAACCGATTTAAAGAACAATTTGGCAATTATTCAAAATGCTATAAATAGTATCACCATATGACTGAGACATTTTACTCTGTTACGTACTCAAAAGAAATGAAAACCTATGACTACACAAAGAATCAGATGTAAATGATCAAAGGAGCAGTATTTGTAATAGCCCAAAGGGGATAAAACCAAAATATCCATCAAATAATAACAGAAAAAATAACGTGTGGTGTGTCCATACAATAAAATACTATGTGCCAAACAAAGAAAATGAAGTAATAATACCTGCTATGTCAGGAAAAAACCTCAAAATCACTAAAGTAAGTAAAATAAACCAAATGCAAAAGGGCAGATAATTTATGATTTCACTTAAAATAACTTTTAATAAAAGGCTTATATATAAAAACAGGCTAATGATTGCCTATGACCAGGGTAATGAAATCAGTAAGTACAAAAGAGATTAATTTCTTTTTCCATAGTGATAAGGTGATTTCAAAATTAGATTGTGGTTATGGGTGTCTGTAAATACACTTTAAGAACTTGGAATTGTACACTTAAAACATGTGATGGTTTTGTTATAAGATTATATCCCTCTAAAATGTTTCCAAATGAAACTGTTGACTTTTGGAGAACTAAGTCACAGACTGTAAAACCAAACCCATTTATTGTTCATCTCAAGGCATGTTAAATAAAGAGGAAAAGACAAAGATATAGTTATAACATTAAAATCTTCATGGCAAATAGTTATAAGAAAAAAATTACAATTGTAAAATGTATTAATAGACATAAATTACCTGCTTAGATTTACCAGGCCAGAAATGTAAATTAAATAATAGTACACTATTGAAGACCACTCTGAGTCACTGATTATTAGAAACTTGTTATGATGTCATCATAAGGTTAAAATATTCCTTATCAAAAATGACTCACAGCAAAAATGTTAAATAAAGTGTGTTAGTGGCACCCCTGTCCACAGTTGCTGGTACTTTTAGTGTATGGCCAATTAGAAAGCTGCTCTTTTGTCCCTCATTTGTAACCAATTTCAACACTCAAATTCAATATTGAACTCCTAAATTTATTGATAAAACATGTGAGAAGATGTTTAAATTATATATTTAAAAGATATTATGAAAATAAAAAATCTTAGCAAACATAGGGAGAATTATAAACTAACATTTATCATACATACCCACCACAAGGCTTCAGCAATTCTCACATTTTTTATCTTTCATTTTTAATTATCAACTTCAATTATTCTGGTAATATTTTCAAGTAAGCATATTATGTTGTCAGTTTGTAGAAATTTGAGTACCTATATCTAAGAAATAAAAAGAAAAATAAAAATAGTACTATAAAATCTAAGTAAATACAAGTATTTTCTAATATTGTACTAAAGAGTTTCTTGATTCTTTACGTGCAAAACAGTAGAACTTAGCAACCTCCAAGACTTTATGAGAAATAACAATTTAAGACTAATATTTATCCTGGAGACTCAAAGTGACTATAAATAAATATATCTTTAGTTAATAAAGCTTAAAAATAAAGTATTAATAAAAACACATTTTGAAGATGGCTGACACCTTTGTTACTAGACATGGGGCTTGTGCTGTAAATAACTAGTTTAAAAGTCCATGGAAAAGGGATTTTCAACCAAAAAGTCTATAGAAAACAAAAAATTTTGGTTTTTCTGAACTCAGGATGTGAGGCCAGCTTTTAAAGCACTGAATTTAAAAAGCCCTCAAGACCCTAAGCTTGATAAGCACGTCACCAGCAGGTCTCATTTTTCAGCTCTGTGCACCAGGTGGCATGTCTAGCAAAATGTCCCCTCTCATGTCAGGTTTTTTCTATGAACTCAGAATGACCACTGTCCCTTAGTATGCAGCCCTGCAGTGGACCCAAAAATGACAATCAATCAGGTCCAGAGTTGCTCATTATGGCCTTTCCAGAATGTAATTATCTAAGGACAATTCTCCCCCTTGTAAAATTAAGAAAGTATCAGAATATTTGCCTAATTTTTGATAACATCATACTGTGAGCCACAAAAAAGCAAGAATTTAAAATGTAAGGGATTATCTGGATCCTAGGGCACAGAAATACACCTCAAATAGAATAGTTTCACACACGATTTTATATGTGGACTTCCTGTGTGGAAGAAAAGAATGTGGGGGTCAATAGTAGAGAAGTCTGTATGTAGTGGAATTTTAAGAAATCAGAGAGGCCGATGGGGTTCAGGAGGGTATTTATTAATTATTTAGGTGCACTGGTCCAGTGGATTAACATCCAAAGAATGAGTCCTGAACAAAGAGTTAAGTTACCTTTTAAGCATTTCATGGGTGGGGAGAGATTTGTGCAGGGAGAATCATACTACAGAAGCAAGAAACAAAGACAGTTATTCAATTGAGACATGCATTACATTATTTCTTACTTTTCAAGGAAAAACCTGTTTTGTGACTTGAATTTATCTGTCTAGTGACCTTGCAGCTTCACAGCTTGGGAAACAGGGTCTTCACAATCCCTGGGAAAGGAGGAGAGATAAGGATCACTAGCCACAGAAAAACAGGCAGTTAGTTTTTAAAGGACTCCAGCTCTTACTCTTTCTCAACAGAAGTTGGGTTTTCTTACACACAAGTGAGTTTCTGCTTACACACTCTTTAATCTCTTATAATTCCTGTTCCATTCTCCCCATTGGTGCTTTTTATAACAGAGGTGTTAATAGAAAGCACCATTATTTGCCAAGTCTTCATGGAGCTGAGCTTTTTCTTCTTCTGGCGGTGGCTGATATCTGGTTAATGCATCAACTGTACAGACTGTACAGTAGTGTTTTGGGCTACCATTGCCTCCATAGTTGACTGAATACTCCTAATAAACAGAGACAAAAGGCAAGGGAGGATAAGGCAGATGCAAAGAATAAGCAAGAACCTACTAATGAGGGTTTAGAATTTTTCAAATGCTGAGAACCATCCTCCAAACAAGGAATCCGGGGACTACCTGGATCAAGTCTGAAGTGGAACCTGGGCCAACTTGTGCATTCTAGCTGTAATTTTTATGACCACTAATATTGATTTCTTGGCTATTGATTTCTAGGCAACAGTTGGTTAAATTAAATTTTCTACATATTCCTCCTTCGGAGGATAAGAGATAATTTAAAGCCAGCCTATTTTGATATATAGCATTTCCTTTTTGTGTTGCTTGTATTGCCAATAAATCTAGTGCCCTCGATATTTCATTGGTTATGATTTGAAGGACTGCCTGCAACTTCATGATGCGGCTGAGGATATAGATTATGGTGCAGTACCCTCATGACCTGTCTTGCACCTAGGTAGCTGGCCCATAGCATGTCATGATTCTTTCAGGAGGTCATTTATTATCTTTTTAGTCTCCTGTGTCCACATCTTTTTTGATATTTTTGTTACTTTTGTGATTATGCTTTTTCTAGTTCTTCTTTTATTTTTATTATAAACTGGATATTCTAAGAATTTCCCTTGCTTTAGAGGAATTAGAAAGAAGGATGGCTTGATTGCTTTTAACAGACATGTCCCTGCCCATTTTGCTGGCAGTTGCCAATATGCCCATGCTCCACAGATCCAATATAGGCCAGAGGGTGCCTTTCAAGCATTTGAATCATCTACCTGATGCCAAGTGCAGCTTAGAGTAAGGAATCCAGAGAAAGTGTTTGGATCTGGTAAGTAGGAGTCATTCTGGGCATTTCTTCATAGAGTTTTGTTTTTAGTCTCGTAATAATACTGTTGCCCTAGGAAGGTTGTTTTTCCTACTGCGTCTGTGAAAGCCTTTCCCCATCGAGTGATACAGTACTTTCCAGTTATGGAGATTTTTAACAATCAAACACTGGCTGAGGCTGTTGGTTCACTGGCAGGGTTAAGCAAAGTGAAGTTATCTTGTGGCATTAATTCCTTTGCCTCCCATTGCCACTCATTCTCCATATTAGTTTCTCTACATACATAGCATGAAGAAATTTTTAAGCTGCCATCTGTGTTTTCAGCTAGTTGAGCAAATAAGTTTTTGGTTGATGGGGGAACCTCGGGCACTGGCTGATCAAAATGCTTACAGAATGACTTGGTATTGAGGGGTTGGATGCATTTGAGTCCTTATAGTATTTTTGACAATTAGTAGTGGAACTCCAAGACCTGCTCCTTGTCTATCAACTGGTAATAGTGCTGTCTGTCCTGTAGACCAAAAAGGTAGCTCTGGCTTTAAGATAGTAAAATTTAAAGGATCGCATGTCCTTGTCTTACAATCTGGTTTTTAGGATTATGAACATACGTGGCATGGCAGTCATCAAAGAAGAAATAGGCCCTTTTTAGAAGGGTGGGATTTCTTTGGTTTGAGCTATAAGCTTTCCTTCTGTTTCTCCCTCTGATATAATATTTACCTCAAAATAGAATTAATAGGGTAAGAGCCCAGGCTCATAACATACATATAGCTGATTATTTCCTCAGTCACAGACTGAATAGGTGGTCTGGTTGTATATGCATATTCCTAATTTGCTTCCTGTACATTCATAGTAGGTATGGTACAGTAGAGTTTTAACTGTGGTATTTTTTATCCAGGTAATGTGTACACAGCATGGACATCCTTCAAGAGATTTATCCCCTTTCAGTATAAGCATAAATGGTAACAACATTGTTGTATGTAATAGAAACATGCTTACACTACACATGGGCACAAAAACTTTCCTCTGGGCATAGACATTTGCAGCATTTGCAGTAATAACATAACAACGGAACAATCAGTATTGACAGAATTGTAACTATGGTTATAAATTGTATTCACATTTACTTATCTGGACATGGTCCTCTTAGCTTCGGCTGTGTGTACACTAGTCAGCTTCCGGGATGTGACTAGAGCAGAGTTTGAAGAATCCTTAAGCTTCAGCCATGCTTAGACTGACCAGCCTCCAGTGTGGTCAGAGCAGGGCGGTTGTCCTTTTTACCGGTGGCTGAGATTTGCCATAGGGCTATTCGAGTGGGGCAATCTGGGTCTTGTTGGCTAATCCACAGGTTGTCATCACGACTCGCTACTGTCACTGGTTTTAGATGGCTATGGTGAATCCAAGGTGTGGCACCTGCAACTTTAACAGCAGTGGGAGTAGACATGATTACAATATGGCGCCTATCGTATATGGGTCCTAGAGTGGTTGAATTCCATTTTTTACCTAAACGAAGTCCCTAGGTTTGAAAGGGTGTACTGGGTCTGTTAGACTTATAGGCATTTTTTTACATACTTAACCATGCATTTTAGTATAGCCATACTTAAAGCCTGCATTTGCCTTCTTAAAGTTAGTTTTCCCAATTTACAGAGATTACCCTGAATCTGATTTTTCTGGGGGGTGGGCAGCTGAACAAAATCTCAGAGGGCGAATACTCAGTTTTTTGGTGGGGGTGCACCTGACTCATAAGAGGACCATGGGCAAGACCTGATATTACTTCAGATGAGTTTTTCGACAAAATTTCTTCAACAGCTGCTTGAGTGTCCAGTTTATGCTCTCCACTTTACCTGAGATCTGCTACCTGTAGGCTGTATGTTATTTCCATTTTATTTTTAATAGTCGAGTTAAGTCCTGAACTATTTTAGCCACAAATGTTGGTCCATTCTCTGATCTTAGAGTTAGAGGCAGCCCAAATCTGGGAACAATGTCTCTTAACGCCTTGGTCACGTCTAGTGCCCTCTCTGTCCTGGTGGGAAAGGCCTTGAGCTATCCTGAAAAGGTGCAAATGAACACCAATATGTACTGATAGCCCCCGTCTCAGGGTCATTCAGTGAAGTCCATTAGCAGTTTTTCACAGGGCATGGCTCCTTTTTCCTGAACTCCCATGGGCCGAGTAGGATCTTGTCGTGGATTGTTCCGAGTGTAAGTTAAACACAGTTTACAAATGGCCCGAGTAATAGCAATGAGCCATGGCAGATAAAAATGATGCCTTAATAATGTCTTTATTTTTTTTTTAATCTGAGTTCGGTGGTGGAATTGTTTTACAAATCTGGGGGTCACCATTTCAGGTATGGCTAGCCTCCCATTGAAGAATTTGTATTATCCTCTTTCAATGTAGTTCTTATTTTCCTGGGGAAGCCAAGCTCTGTTATTTGGAGTGAAGATTGGGATCTCCAGGAGGGGAATCTCCGGGAGGAGAGGCATAGCTAAGGCATCTTCTTTAGGTGGAGTTGTCATTGCAGCCTTCTTTGCCTCTTTGCCTTCGTATCTTTTTTAGCCCTTAGTGTTCTTGCTTTTTGCTGCCTCTTGCAGGACTTCACTACCGTCACTTTTGGGGCCCATACAGCGTTTAAGAGCTGTAGGATTTCTTCCTTGTACTTTATTTCTTTGTTTCCGCAGTTAAAAGTCTTCTTTTTTTCTTTGTAAATAACCTTATGAACATGCAAAGTGGCAGAAGCATATTTGGAACCTGTATAAATATTGGTCTTTTGGTCTTTTGCTAGCCAGAGAACTCTTGTCAGAGCTCTTAGTTCTGCTTTCTAATCAGAAGTTTCTGTAGATGAAGACTGCACCTCTACTGTTGAGTCTAAAGTCACCACTGCATACACAGCTTGGCGGGCTCCTTTTAGTATGAAACTGCTTCCATCAGTAGAATATTCAATGTTTGGGTCCCTGAGGGACTGATCTGTCAAATCTCTCTGGCTTGAGAACACTTCATCTACCACGTCCACACCACAATGAAACGGTCCTCCTGGCACTGACTCGATGAGAGTAAGGTAGCCGGATTTAGGGTATTCACAGTCTCTAAAGTTAGTTTACTAGCTTCCTGCACCAGTACGGCAGTGGCTGCTAGTGCTTTAAGACAAGGAGGCCATCCAAGTGCAACAGAATCTAATTGCCTGGATAAATATGCCACCAGGCGATGCCATGACCTTATGGCTTGAGTCAGAACCCCTATGGCCTCCCTTTCACTTGTGGACATACAAGAAGAAAAGCTTGATTAGTTAGATCTGGCAGTCCTAAAGCTGGGGCCTGAGTCAAGGCTTCTTTGATTTCTTTAAAATCCTTCTCCTCTTTGGCCTCCTAGAGGAGGGGCTCCTTTTTTCCTCCTCTTAGTGGCTTGGTATGATGGCTTGACCATGAGCAAGAAATTTGGGTTGTAAACGCGGCAGAACCTTGCTGCTCTTAGAAACTCTCTTACTTGACACCGGGTGGTTGGAGTAGAAAGTGCACAAACAGCCTGCTTTTTTTCAGGACTAAGCCATCTTTCCTCTTGGCTTATATAAAAGCTTAAATATTGACACTTTTAGAGGAGATTTGAGCTTTTTTCTGACACTTTTTATTCTGCCTTCTACAGCAGGTGCAGTGGTTCTTGGGTTTCTTCTGCGTGTAGTAGCCCTTGGCTGGTGTGTGTGTGTGATTTTTTGGTTCTGTTTTTTTGGGTTTTTTTGGTTTGTTTTTTGTTTCTTTTACTATTGCCCTGATCATTTTCATTATTTCTTTGACATTTATGCTTCCAGTGTCTTTCCTTTTGCACCATGCACATTAATCTCTCTCTAGCCTCGGCTGGCCTTCACACTCCTGTCCAGACTAGCCTTTTTCATGACTACGTTCACGCCCGCGTCCATGCCTCCTTGTAAAGCCAGCTCCTCTTCCCGGAAGGGCTGCTGCTAGTAAGTTAGCCTTTCTTAAGCCTGTGATCAGCCTTTTCCTTTGCCTCCTCATCTCGGTTAATTAACACCTTGGTTGTCACTTTAATAAGCTGAGTAGCATTCTCGCCTACGGAGCTTGTAACTTCTGCAATTTATGCCTGATATCTCCTTGGGTCTGCCTTACAAGTGCTGGATTCACCCTGCACTGATTTTTGAGTAGCCTCAGGGTTAAACGGAGTGTACAATAAAAATGCCTCACAAAGTCTTTCATAGAACTTGCTGTGCTTTTATCTGCACCCTGAAGCATGTCTGAGATTTTTAAAAATATTGATTGCCTTTTTCTTTTACCATCCTTTAGCCTTTGCAGATGGGCTTCTCGGCACCTTTGTAGGTGCTGAATCTGGACTGCATCATCTGGGTCCTAGTGGGGGTCCTCCTGTCCTCTTAAGAGGCATGAGCATATCTTATGCACGACCAGACCTGAGACGGCCTGCCTGATTTTCGCTCTCATTTCACCTTCTCGGGTGAGACTGGCAGCATGTATCCATTTGAACTTAACTCCTTAGGGACAGTTACCTTGGTAAAGGGGGTAGATTGGAATGTAAGGAGGAGCGGTCTCTATTCTTTTCTGTGGTTGTTACAAAACCGGTTTTTCTGCCTTTTCTGAGATTTTTTCATTTGTCTTCAGCTGCTGGGGCAGCTGATTTTACTTTCACTTTTGGCTGGGAGGTGCTACAAGCCTCTGTGTCTCCTTTTAACTCTGTAGCTGCCAGAGCAGCTGATTTTCTCTTGCCGTGAGCTGCGAGCATTCTACAGTAAACTGCTAGGCAGGGCTGCATTCATTTAGCCATGAGTCAATATAAAGACTAGGTCTGAATGTCCTGGCTGTTCTCTGACCCTAGTCACCACCTTAAAACACACGGCCAATTTTTCTATAGTGCCTTTGGCAAGCCATCTGACACTAAAACAGGGCTATTCTAATTCACAGTATGTCCTTAACTTTTGAACACTCAGTTTCATCCTATAATCACTTCTAACTCTTTTTTTAAAATTCTTTATTATGCTTTTCAAAGGAGCCACTTTTGATGTTTTCACTCTCATTTCCTCTCTTGCAGTTCACTTTCACTCTGACTTTCACTCTTGAGTCCACCAGACCTGGTCCTATTGCGGGAGTTTCAGATGCTGCTTAGCCAGGACCATGCCTTCCCCTGTCGCAGACTGCTGCAGCTGTAAAGCTGGTACTATCAGCCATATGAAGCATCTTAGGTCTGATTTTCCCCACATTCGCCTCAGAGCACACAGCCACCACTAAGGGATCTGTGCCTCCCCATGTCGCTGCCCACATTGGCCTCTCCCAATGTAACAGGAAGAGCTGCAGACAAAACCCCTTGGACACTGAGTTAAAGAAAGAAGGTGTTTATTCACCTGGGAGCTTCAGCAAGACTTCTTTCCCAAGAGCTGAACCGTCCGAGTGAGCAATTCCTGTCCCTTTTAAGGGCTCACAACTCTAAGGGGGTCCGCATGAGAGGGTCACGATCTATTGAGCAAGCAGTGGGTATGTGACTGGGGGATGCATACACTGGTAATTAGAAAGGTACTGAACAGGACAGGGATCTTCACAGTGCATTTTTTATGCAAATAACCGATTAGGTCAGGGGTTGACCTTTAACTACCAGGCCCAGGGTGTGGCGCTGGGCTGTCTGCTTGTGGATTTCATTTCTGCCTTCTAGTTTTTACTTCTTCTTTCTTTGGAGGCAGAAATTGGGTATAAGACAATATGAGGGTTGGTCTCCTCCCTTATTTTCCCCCTTTGAGACTCTCACTCATTTTATTAGTGGGAGTTCTCACCTTCTTCCTCACTACCTATGTCTTCCTCTATCACAGATTGATAGTGATTCATGTAGTACACTCGTGCTGAAGCGTTCTGGTGAACTAGAGTTGCCATGAAAACTTTTACCACTTGAATGAGTACAGCTAGTAAGCAAGAGATCAGTAAGCAGGTTCCTATTACTACTATAGTTTCCATTATAAGAGTTTTAAATCCTTCTAGTGCCGGGAACCATTTTCAAACATGGCCTCAGTGTCAAATCGGTGCCACACCTGTACTGGCACATGTGCCAGTTTCATCATGTCTTTAACTATATCTTCGACTACTTGCCCCTGATCATCTATGTGCAGACAGCAAGTGGGCCTAATTACAGTCATTAAATTGGGCCTAATTACAGTCACAATCAATTTACTAAAATAACCAGACAGCAAGACAGGTTTCCAAACATTGGCAAATGTTTCAGGGAGAAAAAAATGCCCCACTAGAGAAGCATGGTTGTATCTCTGTGTGTACATACACACGGGGCCAGGCAGTTCTATGCATGATAGTCTGGGACTGTAAAAGTGACTATGCAAACCTTTACATTCTGTCACAGAACTTACAATTTAAAGTGAGCATCTTTTTCTGTGACTTAGAAATTGACTTTTTTTTTTTAGTTGGGAGCCACTTTTAGCAATTTTCCCTTTGTTGATACATAATAATAGTATATATTTGTGGTGCATGAGTGATATTTTGATACATGCATGCAATGTACAGTGATCAAATCAGGGTAATTAGAATATCCATCACCTCAAACATGGATATTATTTTCTTTGTGTTTGAAAAATTTCCTTTGTGTTGGGAGAATTTAAAGCCATCTCTTCTATCTATTTTAAAATATACTAAAAATTAGTGCTAACTGTAGTTATCCTACTGTGCTGTCAGACACTAGAAATTATTCCTCCTATGATAAAAAGTTTAGGCTGTATCCCATGGGTAGTAGGACACCACATGACTGAGTGGTCATCTGGGAAATTATCTGGATGACTTTGGAACATTCCTGGTTGAGCCAGGTGGCTGTTGCAACAAACTGTGGGGAAGCCCCTCCCCTAATGCCCCCTAAGCCAGCTGTCACTACATGGCAGGAAACCTCCAAACCTGAGGGCCCCAGGAAACAATGACAGTCCCCACTCACATGCAACTTGTGCTGTGCTCAGTGCCCTCCACATTGAGCCTGATCTAGCTTTACCCGAGGGCTGTGAGGTGGGACAATCAGTATCCCTTTATTTTAAAAGGCTCAGTGAAGTTTTGGGCTTAATGTGAGTGAAGTGATCCTAAAAGCTGACTCTGGGATCCCGGCTCCACCACTGACCAGTCCTGCAGGTGGCGAGAGTTGCCTCTCCTCCCCTCGATTTCATTTTGTCCTCTGTGAAGTGCAGCCGTGCTGATGACTCACATATCAGGGATACATGGGAACTGTCAATGAACGGAGTGCTCTACACAGTGCCTGGAGCTCAGAATGCAGATGAGGGAGGAGGGTGAGCCATAATTCTGAGGGAAGTCCCAACATAATTTAGCCCTTCCATCTAGTAGCCGGGCCCCAGTACAGAGTCCTATGTCAGTGACAGGGCAAACTGAGACCAGCTCAAACACAGCCTCTTCCTCAGCAGCAGGGCCCAACTAAGGCACTTGGTGTTTTGGTTCATTTCCTGCAGCTTCAATGTAAAGAATATTGTGAGACATTTGCTGGAACAACTGAAAATCAGAAGAAGAAGAGACAGCTCTTCTCCATCTCCCTGAGAGCTCTTCCCCAGAATGTGTTTATCCAGAGAGGAGGGGAAATATTTATTTTTCGTAAATAGTAAATGCTAGAGTCGAATATTATATGAAAATCTCATTCTACTACAAAATCGGAGTTGTGGTTGTGGTTCTTTTTATTTCACTTGTGTAAGCTTAAATGAGATACAGACTCTAACATTTCTCCTTGAATTATGAAATCCTAAAGAGTCGGCAGCATAATGTATGAGGAAGAAGAGAAAAGCAGTCATAGTTTCTGGCTGCCGGATAAGACACCCAGGTCCATTTTTCTCAGAGCATATGTTCATTTTAATATTAACCCAAGGAAAGAGTGAAGATAGATCATTCGAACTTGCAGAATTAATAATTTGAAGGTATTTTCACAAAGCATAGCGACAGTCTTGGAAATATAGATTTCTTTAAAAAGCAGTTGCAGAGATCAGGAGGATGAATACCTTTCTATGATTTTACAAAAAATAAATCAACTTCTGCTTCACTTGCTGAGGTTTCCTCTAAGCAACTATTAGGACATTGTTGTTTTTTCTTCCAACTCTGGAGTTGCATCAGGTCTATGTGGAAAAAAACATTATAAAATAAAATGACCAAAGTCAAAAGGAGAAGGCCAGGGAAAGTCTATTGACAATGGATGCAGGGCAGAAAGGAAGCTGCATTCTCAATCTTCTTCTGGTGTCCTGTGATTGAGCCTTTACCTTAGATGTAAATCCTCCCAGAGTTTTGTCTCTTACCTTAGAATTTCTATTCTTTTTTTAAGTTAGTTTCTTATCTAGAATGAAAGAATTGTAATGCCACTTTATGGCTACACCTGGGCCTTATTCTGTAAATATTTTTACTACCTATGAGGTAAAATTCCCAGCATTAGGGCAATTCTTTATCCAATTTTTTCTTTCTGAGACAGAGTCTTGCTGTGTCACCCAGGCTGGAGTACATTGGTAAAATCTTGGCTCACTGCGATCTCCACCTCCTGGGTTCAAGAGATTCTGCTGCCTCAGGCTTCTGTGTAGCTGAGATTACAGGCACCCAGCTTCATGTCCAGCTAATTTTTGTACGTTTAGTATGTTTAGCAAATTTTGTATTTTTAGTTTCACTATGTTTGTCAGGCTGGTCTTGAACTCCTGACCTCCAATAATCTGCCCGCCTTGGCCTTCCAAAGTGCTGGAATTACAGGTGTGAACCAATTCTTTTTGAGGAATAAATTACCTAAAGGTCCTCAAGCCTTTCTGTCAGGCATATCTTGGCCTTTTCTCTCTGACTGGGGTCCGATGAATCACAGGTGGGCACTATTTTTCTATATTCCCAACCAGTGATAATCCTTGCGCTCTTTATTTCTAATTAAAAGAAATCCAAAATGGAGATAGTTATTTGAGAGGTCTCTAAAGACAACTAGGAGGACATGAGGAGTTGAATTAATACTCATACACACCCAGGTGGAATTTTACCTGTTCGAACTGGGAAAATTACAGATGTCCTAAAAAGGCAACTGCATTTGACTTGGATTGTTTATACTGAGCCTGATCACAAACCTCCTGGAGAGAAAGCTGTGCTGAATTAAGCTGATGATTGCCTAGATACAGTCTAAGCTGGCAATCAAACATTGTCCATCATAGACTGTGCTAAAATCTTTCACTTGTGTAAACTTGCAGTAAAACTTTATAAGTCCCTCCCTAACCTCATCTGAATGGAACATGATATAGCTTCTTGCTAAATTTGTGTCTCCCAAATAGCAATTTATAAAAAATCATGATTAAAATGCCTTTTATTTTATTTTCCACAGGGTCTGTTTTACTCCCATGTTATAAAATGCTTTTCTCAAGAAAGCATAGAGCCCATTCTCTTCTCTAGAGAGAATCGCAGCCTTGCAAAAGAGACAACTAAAAATACATACATATAAGTATCAAGAATTTAAAACTCAAAATATTAAATATGTTACAAAAGTATATAAGCAATAGAATAAATAGGATGAATAGCAAAATGGATAAAATCAACTGTGAGTTGAAAGCCTGAAAGTTCAGGTGAAGGTGTTGAAAATGCTTCAGAAAAAACTAAAGAGATAAATATTTATAAAAATAAAGAGCTGGGCTCAGTGGCTCACACTTGAAATTTCAGCTGCTAGGGATGCTGAGGCCAGAGGATCAATTAAGGCCAGAAGTTTGAGACAAGCCTAAGCAAGACCTTGTCACTGAAAATGTTTTAAAAATTATTTTGACATTATAGCATGTAACTGTGGTCTCAACTACTTAGAAGGCTGAGGCAGGAGGATTACTTGAACTCAGGAAGTTGAGGTTACAGTGAACTATAATCATGCTACCGTACTCCAGCCTGGAGTGAGGCAAAATCTAGTCACATTAAAATAAAATAAAACAAAATAAAATAAAATAAAATAAAATAAAATAAAATAAAATATAATCTAGTCACGTTAAAATAAAGTACAATTATCAAGGACAAAAATAAAATTGTACAACTTGGCAATAGAAAAAAAATAGAGCATAGAGCAACTGGGGGAAAGGGGGTTGAAAGTATAATTTCCTTTTTATTTCCTTAGTTGGTCATTACTTAGACTTTTTCACTTAATTAAAATTTTCTTATACTTTGGTGCCCAGTTAACCCCAGAGCATTTTTAATTAATTGGTTTAGAGGTAGATACTCATATAAGCTTTCCACTGCAAATTACAAGAGCCAAATTTTAAATAAATGTTGGACCTCTAAATTTTCTATTTGCAATATTTAAGGAAATAAAAATTATAAAAAACACTTTGTAAAACATTTAGTATGTAACTGCTGTTTCTAATGTATAATAAATCCAATTATGGCAGAGACTCACTCTGTTGTTGAGAATCTCTCCATTATATGACTGCTGCTTGTGGTGCTTAAACCTCAGGAAGAAAGAATATATGAATGTCTGAACATTGCTTTAAAAAGACAATGTACATTTAATGTAGAGATATGTGACCAGCTTAGAAAGCTGCACTTTTTCCACAGCAGGCAAACCAGAGCCTGGATACCCCAGGGTCACAGCTCATGAGAACATAGGGCTGGACTGTGAGAAAACAAGAAGCAATTCGTGCAGAGGAGTTGACAAGACACCAACTGGGCTGAGAAAAAAGAGCTGATAGATTAATTTCCAAATTATACTACAAAACATACAATAAGCAGACCCCATAGCTTTATACATTAAAACCAAATGATGACAAAGAGTGAGGATTGCATTAAATTAAATTAGGAGCAACTAAAGACTGGTTTATGATCTTGAAACTTTAGTCACTCTCCATAGTTCCATCCCATGACCCGGTAATTATTTCCTGCTTTCTGCATGCCTTGGACACTGGTCCATTTCTGGCCCCAAAGTGTTCCTTTTTCTAATAAGAGTACTTACTTCATCTCTTAATACAATTCCTTTCCTTGCATACTGTGCCCCAAAGAAGAAATATTAAAAACTTTCCTGATGTTTTTCTGCTGCGGGGTTAATGGGCTCAGAGTGATGATAAGAACGGCCAATGAGTGTGTGGAGCCAGATAGTGCTTAAAATATGGACTTCAGTCCAGTGAAGTCTAACAAGATTGGCACCTGAGCACTCTTCTCTGAGACCTGAGGATGGACTCACTGAACCTGGAGCTACTAACGCAGCTGATACCCACATATATACACCACCTGTGTTCCTAGAAACTGGCCTTCCCAGCCCATCACAGCAAACACCAACACCAGCATGGAACGCTTGGGAGTCAGAGGTTTTTCTTGTCGTTGCTACTGCCATCATCCATGCCATAACCACTGTCCAGGGGCTCAAGAAGCTGCCCACCCACCTTGCTCACTGCTGACACCTGAGCAAATCACATGAAGGCCAAATAATTAGTCTTCCTGGACCTGTTAACACTGCTGCCAGCATAACTGCCTTGAGACCCAAAAGCAGGCATGGTAAGCTCACCACTGCCACCACTGGGATCCAATGACTAAACCTCTGGTGCCCCTATTCCCAGCAAAACTTTACCACAGCCTCTGCTAAAAACGATACCCTAAGCCACTGAGAAAGGTACAGACACCACTGATACTCTTTACAGCCAAAGAAATCATATAAAGACAGGCCGGGTATTGTGGCTCATGCCTGTAATTCCAGCACTTTGGGAGGCCAAGGCCAGTGGCTCGCTTGAGGCTAAGAGTATGATACCAACCTGGGGAACATGTCAAAACCCTGACTCTACTAAAAACACACAAATTTGCTGGGCATAGTGGTAGGCACCTGTAATCCCAGCTACTTGGGAGACTGAGGCACGAGAATCGCCTGAACTCAGAGGTGGAGCCTACAGTGAGCCGAGATAGTGCCACTACACTCCATCCTGGGCAACAGAGCAAGGTTCTATCTTAAAATATATACACATACAGAGTTTAAAGTCTGTGCTCTCCTCTCCTCAGCTGCCTTGTGACTGTGTAAGTGTATGTTTGGGAAGGGAGGGATAGGATGAGGACAGGCCAGCAGAGAGTCACCAGCACTGGCTAAAGGTCTCAGACCAAATTTTATACTCTTGACCAGGAGAAACTTCTCTGTTATTCTAATCACATTAAACTCAAGCATTTTCTTTTTTTCTTTCTTTTTTTTGAGAAATCACATCGAACTTCCAAAATTATAAAGTTGAAAATATGTAATAATTGACAATTGGAAACAAGAAAGAGGATTAGCTATAAAAATAACTCAGGACAATGTATTTATCATGAAAAGATGGTCTTGGTGGAAGAAAGTTTCATGCCCAGCCAGCCCATTCTTCAATATCTGCTAAAAAAAAAAAGAGCAAAGGGAACTTAAAGACATCATAGACTTGGAAATTTCGTCTCACAGTGCATTAAATTCCCAAATCACATGTGGAAGAGAAGAAGCTGCTGCATATTAGACTAACTAGTTTTACTGAATGTTGTCTGTTGATTTAAAAATTAATACTCTTATCAAGAGCAAATTGAAATACTGAAAGTTATTTACTAAACAGCAAAGAATATTTTCAGTATATAAAAAGATTTAAAAAAACGTTGACACCTTAACTAAATCTGACACAAATTTAAAAGGAAAAGTAACTAGAAAATGAAAGAAGCGTTGTACAAGTATGCGATGCACCCTCTGTTGCACCAACTGCTCCTGTTTGTTGAGTCCCCTCTTCTATTCTGCCTCCTCCATCTCCTTGCTGATTCCCCTTTTTGTCTATTTTAATTTCTCTCTCTATTCCTTTCTCAGGTCACCATGTCACATTCCTTTTGTGTCTTTTGATGTCCAATCTCACCGACACCACCTTCATTCTCTATTTTATCTTTACAAATGGTTAATTAGGCATAAAGAGGGAAAACACTCCTGGGAAGATACCTGAATCCTGGTGCACACTATCATTATCACTGTTTTTCATGTTGATGCTCATGTGTCTCTGCTTTCTCGACAGACTATTTAATCAGCAGACAGATCAACAGGCCAAAATTTCCACCATAGTTGCAAATTTGAATGCGGATGAATGGATTAAAACACATTCAAGTCTTGCAATGAACGGCATAATGTATGGTGGTATAATTCAGAGTGGTTACAGGGGAGAGTTAAAGATCATTGTATACAATATCACTCGAGAATCTTTTGCTGTAAAACTGCAGATGTGGGTTCCTCAATTTTTAGTGGTACCTTGTCAACAATTAACCCCTGAGGATGTCTCTGCCCCAACAGAGGCTACATACAGAACTGGGAGATTCAGACGCACTGGTACACGTAGCTTAAATCCTGGAGCCAAAATATGAGTACAGCGTCCATCACATCCTACTCCTATGGCTGGTGAACTTGTAGCTATGGGAGAAGAAACTGAAGGCATAGTACAGTTTCCTAAAGATGAAAAACAATATTATGTTCCCCTCTGTTTTGGTTATTACAGAGAATAACCTGTTTACTAATGGTCAGTACCTGTGTCTCTGTGTCTGATGCCAAGAATAAATTCATCATCTGCATAGCCACCACTGCAACAGAAGCCAACTGCAGTCAATGTTGGCTATGCGTGGAATTGCCAGAGGCCACCAAAAATGGGCTACGTTGGAGAATCGTCCCTGTACCTTACTGCATACCGAATGTTGTGTGTATATCCCTGACAATTCTCACACTACGACTCTCCTTGCACAGCCATGGTGGGTGTGGTTTTCATTAACTGTGCTTTTAATTCTCCTGTGCTTACACTGAATCTGTAATCTGTATAAAGTATGCTTTCCCCAAGTATCTGTAAGGGTATTTTCCTACAATTGAGTATCAAATTGAAGCCAAATTTGGAAGAAAAGTTAAATACTCAATTTTATCTCAATTGAACATGGACACAAACAATGGTCACCAAGTCCCGGAACAGGTTCTGTGAGTTTCTTCAGGCGTTCATCCACCAGTGTCTCAGAGAAATTTCTATTTTAATCTGTTCCTGTATGTTAGTTATTGAAAAACAACAGACAATCGCCAAAAATTTGACATTTTTGTGGTTTTTGAGCCCAGTAGTGAAGAGTCCTCGTTACCCGGCCTTATGCCAAAGAACTCCTTACAAAAAGAGCTAGGGTCCCAGATGGCACTAGAGCTTCCTGAGACCTCTCCCCATCTCTGCAGGGATGAGGGGCCAACTCTGTAGCCCAGGCTGTTGCTTCCCGGTCTGTTGATGAATCCTCCATAGTCTGGTGAGTGTAGTGTCTGACTCTGGAGCCCAGGCTATTGCTTCTCTGTCTGGTGATGCTTCCTCCATACTCTGTAGTCTGCTGTGTGTAAACATATGTATATATATATATATATACATATATATGTATATAATTTATACATATAACTGTAAATAAAAATAATTATATAATTATGTACATAATTATTTAAATAAATAAATGTAAATAAATACATATATAATTATATATATATAATATATATATTTATATATATAAAAAATATATATATTTTTTCCCTTCTCATATCAATTTGCTTATCATATCATTTACTTATTATATCTGTATTGCCATATAATTGAGACAAAAGATGTTTACCCTTAAAAGTATTGTGTGTGCCTTTTCTTCTTCCTCATGGATCTCCCATGCAGAACACATGCCTGACAAATTTTTATATTTTTAGTGGAGACTGGGTTTAGCCATGTTGGCCAGGCTGATCTCAAACTCCTGACCTCAGGTGATCCTTCCATCTCGGCATCCCAAAGTGCTGAGATTATAGGCATGAAACACCCAGCCAGGAGGAGGCATTTCTACAAAGAAAACATACAAATGGCAAACAGACATATAAATGTTGCTAAACATCATTAAACCTCAGAGAAATGCAAATCAGAACTACAATAAGACATTATCTCACTCCAGTTAAAATGTCTTATATCCCAAAGACAGACAATAACAAGTGCTGACGAGGATGTGGAGAAAACTTTAGTGCACTCTTGGTGGGAATGTAAATTAGTATAACCACTATAAAAAAGTGTGGAGGTTCCTCAAAAAGCTAAAAATTGAGCTGCCACAGCTACAATGCAACCCAACAATCCCAGTGATGGGCATTGACACAAAAGAAAGAAAATCGGCTTGTTGCTGCACTGTTTACAATAGCTAAGATTTGAAAGCAAACTGTCTACAAATGAATGAATGTATAAAAAAAGTAGTACATATATACATTGGAGTAGTATTCAGCCATAAAAATGAGATTTTGTCTTTTACGACAACGTGGATAAAAGAGAAGAGTATGTTAAGTGAAATAAGCCAGGCACAGAAAGATAAACACTGTGCGTTCTCACTTATTCGTGGGATGGAAGAATTAATACAACTGAATTCACGGACATAGAGAGCAGAAGGATGGTTTTCAGAAGCTAAGAAAGACAGTGGAGGCTGGGGGAAAGGTGGGGACTGTTAATGTGTACAAAAAAATAGAATAAATAAGACATATTATTTGATAGCACAACGAGATGACTCTGGTCAATAATAATGTAATTGTACATTTTAAACTAGCTAAGAAGGAATAATCAGATTTTAACCCAAAGAATAAATGCTTGAGTGGGTGGGTATCCCATTCTCTATGATGTGATTATTATGCATTGCGAGACCGCATCAAAACATCTCATGAACCCCATAAGTATATACACCTACAATGCATCCTCAAAAATTACAAATTAACTGAAGTAAATAAAATAAAACTATTTAAAAATAAAATATCATAACATTAACTAGCCCCAGAAATATAAGATTTTAATGAAATAAAAATGCCTCTATAATAATCAAACAGTGAGAAGAAAGTCACACTTTACTCCTATTTTTGTTTCTGATCTATCTTCTATCTAGTTTCAAGTTGTAGAATTTTCTTTTTTCATTTCTAATTAAATTTTATTTTATTTTATTTTTTTATTATACTTTAACTTTTACGGTACATGCGCACAACATGCAGGTTTGTTACATATGTATACATGTGCCATGTTGGTGTGCTGCACCCAGTAACTCGCCATTTAACATTAGGTATATCTCCAAATGCTATCCGTCCCCCCTCACCCTACCCCACAACAGGCCCCGGATTGTGATGTTCCCCTTCTTCTGCCCATATGTTCTCTTTGGTCAATTCCCACCTATGAGCGAGAACATGCGGTGTTTGGTGTTTTGTGCTTGGATAGTTTGCTCAGAATGATGGTTCCAGCTTCATCCATGTCCCTATAAAGGACATGAACTCTTCATTTTTTATGGCTGCATTTTGTTCCATGGTGTATATGTGCCACATTTTCTTAATCCAGTCTATCATTGTTGGACATTTGGGTTGGTTCCAAGTCTTCGCTATTGTGAACAGTGCCGCAATAAACATACTTGTGCTTGTGCCTTTATAGCAGCATGATTTATACTCCCTTGGGTGTATACCCAGTAATGGGATGGCTGGGTCAAATAGTATTTCTAGTTCTAGAGCCCTGAGGAATCGCCACACTGACTTCCACAATGGTTGAACTAGTTTACAGTCCCACCAACCGTGTAAAAGTGTTTCTATTTCTCCACATCCTCTCCAGCACCTGTTGTTTCCTGATTTTTTAATGATCGCCATTCTAAGTGGTGTGAGATGGTATCTCATTGTGGTTTTGATTTGCATTTCTCTGATGGCCAGTGATGATGAGCATTTTTCCATGTGTCTTTTTGCTGCATAAATGTCTTCTTTTGAGAAGGGTCTTCATATCCTTCACCCACTTTTTGATGGGGTTGTTTTTTTCTTGTAAATTTGTTTGAGTTCGTTGTAGATTCTGGATATTAGCCCTTCGTCAGATGAGTAGATGGCACAAACTTTCTCCCATTCTGTAGGTTGCCTGTTCAGTCTGATGGTAGTTTCTTTTGCTGTGCAGAAGCTCCTTAGTTTAATTAGATCCCATTTGTCAATTTTGGCTTTTGTTGCCATTGCTTTTGGTGTTCTAGACATGAAGTCCTTCCCCATGCCTATGTCCTGAATGGTATTGCCTAGGTTTTCTTCTAGGGTTTTTACGGTTTTAGGTCTAACATTTAAGTCTTGAATCCATCTTGAATTAATTTTTGTATAAGGTGCAAGGAAGGGATCCAGTTTCAGCTTTCTACATACGGCTAGCCAGTTTTCCCAGCACCATTTATTAACTAGGGAATCATTTCCCCATTTCTTGTGTTTGTCAGGTTTGTCAAAGATCAGATGGTTGTAGATATGTGGCATTATTTCTCAGGGCTCTGTTCTGTTCCATTGGTCTATATCTCTGTTTTGGTACAAGTACAATGCTGTTTTGGTCACTGTAGCCTTGTAGTATAGTTTGATGTCAGGTAGCGTGATGGCTCCAGCTTTGTTCTTTTGGTTTAGGATTGACTTGGCAATGAGGGCTCTTTTTTAGTTCCTTATGAACTTTAAAGTAGTTTTTTCCAATTCTGTGAAGAAAGTCTTTGGTAGCTTGATGGGGATGGCATTGAATCTATAAATTACCTTGGGCAGTATGGCCATTTTCACGATATTGATTATTCCTACCCATGAGCATGGAATGTTCTTCCATTTGTTTGTATCCTCTTTTATTTCATTGAGCAGTGGTTTGTAGTTCTCCTTGAAGAGGTCCTTCACGTCCTTGTAAGTTGGGTTCCTAGGTATTTTATTCTCTTTGAAGCAATTGTGAATGGGAGTTCACTCACGATTTGGCTCTCTGTTTGTCTGTTATTGGTGTATAAGAATGCTAATGATTTTTGCACACTGATTTTGTATCCTGAGACTTTGCTGAAGTTGCCTATCAGCTTAAGGAGATTTTGGGCTGAGATGATGGGGTTTTCTAGATATACAATCATGTCATCTGCAAACAGGGACAATTTGACTTCCTCTTTTCCTAATTGAATACCCTTTATTTCCTTCTCCTTCCTGATTGCCCTGGCCAGAATTTCCAGCATTATGTTGAATAGGAGTGGTGAGAGAGGGCATCCCTGTCTTGTGCCTGTTTTCAAAGGGAATGCTTCCAGCTTTTGCCCATTTAGTATGATATTGGCTATGGCTTTGTCAGAGATAGCTCCTATTACTTTGAGATACGTCTCATCAATTCCTAATTTATTGAGAGTTTTTTGCAGGAAGAGTTGTTGAATTTTGTCAAAGGCCTTTTCTGCATCTCTTGATATCTCAAGATAATCACATGGTTTTTTTGTCATTGGTTCTGTTTATAAGGTGGATTACGTTTGTTGATTTGTGTATGTTGAACCAGCCTTGCATCCCAGAGATGAAGCCCACTTGATCATGGTGGATAAGCTTTTTGATATGCTGCTGGATTCGGTTTGCCAGTATTTTATTGAGGATTTTTGCATAGATCTTCATCGGAGATATTGGTCTAAAATTCTCTTTTTTTGTTGTGTCTCTGCCAGGCTTTGGTATCAGGATGATGCTGTCCTCATAAAATGAGTTAGGGAGGTTCCCTCTTTTTCCATTGATTGGAATAGTTTCAGAAGGAATGGTACCAGCTCCTCCTTGTACCTCTGGTAGATTTTGGCTGTGAATCCATCTGGTCCTGGACTTTTTCTGGTTGGAAAGCTAATTATTAATTATTGCCTCAATTTCAGAGCCTGTTATTGGTCTATTCAGAGATTCAAATTCTTCCTGGTTTAGTCTTGGGTGGGTGTATGTGTCGAGGAATTTATCCATTTCTTCTAGATTTTCTAGTTTATTTGCATAGAGGTGTTTATAGTATTCTCTGATGGTAGTTTGTATTTCTGTGGGATCGGTGGTGATATCCCCTTGGGTTTAATAAACAGATAACATCAAACATTCAACTAATCCAATAAAAAGAAATTTTATTCATTTGAGAATGTGTTTTCCAGAGCATACTTATATATTACGTTTTAACTTCATAATTTATATTTTATAAAAACATAACTAATTCAAGTTAATCTTCTCTAATTTTTAATTCAATTGAATTTTTATCAGGATCACTATATTTAAACAAAAATTACCTGAATTTTTCACATCATAATTTATAGATTCTGCTTCTACAAATTGTCTGTAGGGACCATTATTTCTACACGGTCTACTTTCCTGGGTTAAGTGGTGGATACCCAAATGTTTTTTGGAATAATGTTTTCTTATATCAGTTTTTAGTCAGTGATACGTTGCACCATGTTTAATTTTAAGCATTATCAGTTTTCTTTTTTTTTTTTAATTGATCATTCTTGGGTGTTTCTCGCAGAGGGGGATTTGGCAGGGTCACAGGACAATAGTGGAGGGAAGGTCAGCAGATAAACAAGTGAACAAAGGTCTCTGGTTTTCCTAGGCAGAGGACCCTGTGGCCTTCCGCAGTGTTTGTGTCCCTGGGTACTTGAGATTAGGGAGTGGTGATGACTCTTAAGGAGCATGCTGCCTTCAAGCATCTGTTTAACAAAGCACATCTTGCACCGCCCTTAATCCATTCAACCCTGAGTGGATACAGCCCATGTTTCAGAGAGCACAGGGTTGGGGGTAAGGTCACAGATCAACAGGATCCCAAGGCAGAAGAATTTTTCTTAGTACAGAACAAAATGAAAAGTCTCCCATGTCTACCTCTTTCTACACAGACACGGCAACCATCCGATTTCTCAATCTTTTCCCCACCTTTCCCCCCTTTCTATTCCACAAAACCGCCATTGTCATCATGGCCCATTCTCAATGAGCTGTTGGGTACACCTCCCAGACGGGGTGGTGGCAGGGCAGAGGGGCTCCTCACTTCCCAGTAGGGGTGGCTGGGCAGAGGCGCCCTTCACCTCCCGGACGGGGCGGCTGGCCAGGCTGGGGGCTGACCCCCCCACCTCCCTCCTGGACAGGGCGGCTGGCCGGGCGAGGGGCTGACCCCCTCACCTCCCTCCCGGATGGGGCGGCTGGCCGGGCGGGGGGCTGACCCCCCACCTCCCTCCCGGACGGGGCGGCTGACTGGGCGGGGGGCTGACCCCCCCACTTCCCTCCCGGATGGGGTGGCTGGCCGGGCAGAGGGGCTCCTCAGTTCCCAGTAGGGGTGGCCGGGCAGAGGCACCCCTCACCTCCCGGACGGGGCGGCTGGCCGGGCGGGGGGCTGACCCGCCCACCTCTCTCCCCCCCAGAAGGGGT
Organism: Homo sapiens; assembly: GCF_000001405.40. Lineage (NCBI taxonomy): Eukaryota > Metazoa > Chordata > Mammalia > Primates > Hominidae > Homo > Homo sapiens. Next base: position 7,553,733 of record NC_000021.9, on the reverse strand, counting down.
GGCTGGCCGGGCGGGGGGCTGACCCCCCACCTCCCTCCCAGACGGGGCGGCTGGCCGGGCAGAGAGGCTCCTCACTTCCCATCAGGGGCTGCCAGGCAGAGGCACCCCTCACTTCCCGGATGGGGCGGCTGGCCGGGTGGGGGGCTAACCCACCCACCTCCCTCCCGGAGGAGGCGGCTGGCCGGGCGGGCGGCTGACCCCCCACCTCCCTTCCGGATGGGGTGGCTGGCCAGGCGGGGGGCTGACCCCCCCACCTCACTCCCGAACGAGGTGGCTGCCGGGCGGAGACGCTCCTCACTTCCGAGACGGGGTGACTGCCGGGCGGAGGGGCTCCTCACTTCTCAGACGGGGTGGTTGCCAGGCAGAGGGTCTCCTCACTTCTCAGACGGGGCGGCCGGGCAGAGACATTCCTCACATCCCGGACGGGGCGGCAGGGCAGAGGTGCTCCCCACATCTCAGATGATGGGCGGCCGGGCAGAGACGCTCCTCACTTCCCAGATGTGATGGCGGCCGGGAAGAGGCGCTCGTCACTTCCTAGATGGGATGGCGGCCGGGCAGAGACGCTCCTCACTTTCCAGACTGGGCAGCCAGGCAGAGGGGCTCCTCACATCCCAGACGATGGGCGGCCAGGTGGAGACGCTCCTCACTTCCCAGACGGGGTGGCGGCCGGGCAGAGGCTGCAATCTCGGCACTTTGGGAGGCCAAGGCAGGCTGCTGGGAGGTGGAGGTTGTAGCGAGCCAAGATCACGCCACTGCACTCCAGCCTGGGCACCATTGAGCACTGAGTGAACGAGTCTCCGTCTGCAATCCCGGCATCTCGGGAGGCCGAGGCTGGCGGATCACTCGCGGTTAGGAGCTCAGCCCGGCCAACACAGCGAAACCCCGTCTCCACCAAAAAAATACGAAAACCAGTCAGGCGTGGCGGCGCGCGCCTGCAATCGCAGGCACTCGGCAGGCTGAGGCAGGAGAATCAGGCAGGGAGGTTGCAGTGAGCCGAGATGGCAGCAGTACCATCCAGCTTCGGCTCGGCATCAGAGGGAGACCGTGGAAAGAGAGGGAGAGAGAGACCGTGGGGAGATGGAGAGGGTGAGGGAGAGGGAGAGGGAGAGGGAGAGCTATCAGTTTTCTTTCTTGTGCATTATTTTCACAGTAATATAAATTATGGACATCAAAATATCCTCAGGGTTAAAAACGTTGGAGTCCAAGCATTCTATATTCTTGATTTGTATGGTTTCACTTATGACTCAGCATTTTAGGAAAACATTGGCTCTATAATCTGTCACCCTCACCCCATTTAAATAAAAACATACTTTTTTGGACACAAGGATCAGGCATACACATCTACACAGTGGATCACATCATTTTTGGGGGCAAACTGAAAACTGTTTTTATACTCAAACATACTGTTGGGAAACTGTGAAATAAAAATTTCTGATGTTTGTTAAAAATTGGGAAGAAAGACATTAATACTATTGTAGTAGATTTTATGGCCATCGTAATAGGGTTCAGTTCAGAAATTGATCATAACTCTGAACACAGACAACGAAGAATTTATAGTCAATAAGCAGAATAAATCAGTGGATAAAAATTATTGAAAAACATTTGATAAAATACCAAAGGAGGAAGAGGAACTTTTTATAGCAGAAGGCTGGTTACAGGTTGGCTAAGGACTTAAATATCAAAGAAAGGGAATCACGATATTAGTAGACATAAGGGATATGTGGATTTTTACTAAACAGTATTAGCAGGATTTATGAAAGTGAGCCTCTCAAACCAGGAGCAGGGCAAGAAGTCAAGGTTGGCTTAGTCAAAAAGAGGGTTCAGTTAAGCTTGACTAACATTTGGTCATAAAGGGAGTGCTTACAAGAACCCAGATTTTTTTCCCATCTGATCTGAAAATAAATAATCACCAAAAAAGGCTTTGTTTGAAAAATGAGTGCCCACTTCACCTGAGAAAACCTCCATCTTCTTCTGTTTACCTTTGAATTTAGTGTAGAAAAAGAGCACTTGTCATCGCCACAGTTTTAATTTTGCTTTCACTCTTAAAAACAGAGAGTCAGGGCTGGGTGTGGTTGTTCATGCCTGTAATCCCAGCATTTTGGGCATGGTGATGCAAGCACACCTGTAATCCCAGCTACTTGAAAGGCTGAGGCAGGAGAATCACTTGAACCCAAGAGTCAGAGGTTTCAGTGAGCCAAAATCACACCACTGCACTCCAGCCTGGTGACAGAGTGAGACTCCATCAAACAAAACAAAACAAAACAAAACAAAACAAAACAAAACACAAAATTAGAAATTTAGTTTTATTCAAACAGCAACTTACAAACACAAAGGTTATAGTTTCTGACCCCTATTCAAGACAATTGGTTGTAACCATAAGTATTGATGGGACTTCAGGGAGATTCCTCAGATGGAGCTGATGCAGCTGTGCAAGCCACTTTGACCTTGCATCTTTCCTACTTCTTAGCCTTTGAAATGGACATGGTTGCTGGTGCAGGCTTGTGCTCCTACAGCCAGCCATATGGGACCATGAGACAGCCTACAGGATAAAAACCATCTACTGAAATATTGTAGCAAAGTGTGCCAAGAGGGTTGACTAGAAGTAGCTATGGTGTGTGGCTTTCATGAAAAGAAACAAAGAGGGAAAATAAATACAGCACCATCAACTGAAACACCCAGATATTTGCAGTGGGACTAATGAAGGAAACAGCTCAACCCATGGGAAAAAGAAGGGCATGGCAACCGCCCACCCGGGAGTAACACAGACCAAAGGGAACCTACCCTGCCCAAGGAAGTGGTGAGCAAATACGTGACCCTGAGAAACCACACTTCTCCCATGGATC